>NC_000010.11:98476428-98779458 GCF_000001405.40 Homo sapiens
ACCTGCACATTGTGCACATGTACCCTAAAACTTAAAGTATAATAATAATAAAAAAGAAAAAGAAAAAAAAAAGGGTCTGAGGCCAGGCATGGTGGCTCATGCTTGTAATCCAGCACTTTGGGAGGCTGCGGCAGGTGGATCACCTGAGGTCAGGAGTTTGAGACCAGCCTGGCCAACATGGTGGAACCTCATCTTTACTAAAAATACTAAAACTAGCTGGGCGTGGTGGTGCATGCCTGTAGTCCCAACTGCTCGGGAGGTTGAGATGGGAGAATAGCTTGAACCTGGGGGGCAGAGGTTGCAGTGAGCTGAGATCACACCACTGCACTCCAGCCTGGGTGACAGGGTGGGAGTCTGTCTAAAAAAAAAGGGGCGGGACGGTCTGAATTCTGGACTTGTGAAGAAAAGTTAATGAAACTGGTGTGAATTAGCCTGAAGGAGAAAACTTCTGGGTAACCTAATACTCTTCAAATATATTCATTCTGTAAGGAGCCTATGATGAAATGAACCCAGACAATATCATGACAGAGTCCAGTTATCCATATGTATATCCATCTTATGTAATTGTAATTTTATAGTACTGGACTGTTGTTGTAGCACATTGTTGAAAAAAGTGCACTAGAGTAAGGGTCAGGGGAACTGGATCCTAGGGACTTCTAGCTTTGTCACTTACTAGTTGTGTGACACTTGAATAAGTCACTTAATACTTTAAGACTCAGTGTCTTCAACTCTAAAATGGAAGGGAGGCAGGAATTATTCTATATGCTTCATGGTTCTGTCAGAAGGTTAAATGAGATAATGGCTATTAAAGTTTTTCATTATCTATAAAGTTGCAGCCATAGGTACAGTGGGCCCCAGTGTTCTTATACAATTAAGTGTTCAGACAGGATTGAAATTGTGGTCACTCTTTTCTGAGAGGGCTTTAAATGTGGGGCATCCTCTGGTCCAGATGGCTTGGCCACAGACTGAAGGCTGGGGGAGAGAGCCAGATCACCTCCCAGTGTCACTCCACCTCAGGATTCTTAGCATCCGCTTGTTCCCTCAGGTCAATGTGTCAGAACAGAACAGCCAATGTGATGAAAGTTGCTTCCCTCTTTCCTAATTTTTGGAGTATTTTCCCTCCAAATGGAATTGAACAAGGCACATAAGGGAGAACACTGGGATCTGATCTAACACCTGTTTTTGGTTTGCTTTTTCTCTGGAAAGGTAAGTCCTTTCGATTTTAGATGTCAGTTGGCTTGTGAGGCCGAACTTCATGTTGCTTCTGTTTGTTGAGAGACACTGGAGATATTTATCAGGTACAAATGATTCCCTAGAGCAGGGCTCCCTAACCCCTGGGCCATGGACCAATCCTGTTAGGAACTGGGCTGCACAGTAAAAGGTGAGTGGTGGGTGAGCATTACCACCTGAGCTCCACCTCCTGTCAGACCAGCAGCATCATCAGATTCTCATAGAAGTGTGAACCCTATTGTGAACTGCACATGCAAGGGATCTAGGTTGCACACTCCTTATGAGAATCTAATGCCTAATGATCTGAGGTGGAACAGTTTCATTCCCAAACCACCCCCAAGCCCCCAACAGTCTGTGGAAAAACTGTCTTCCATGAAACCAGTCCCTGGTGCTAAAACAGTTGGGGACCACTGCCCTAGAGGACAGTGGCTATTGCTTTGTGATCACACAAGGCAATGGGTAGATTCTGTATTTTGCAGATGCCCCCAAAATCTCCTCTGACTTATCCAGAATGGGAACCATTGTTCTGGATGTGAATGGGGCCATCTTCTTCTGAGAAAGGTGAGAAACCAGGGAACATGACAAGGGAGGGACCCACAGCTGGATTTTTTCTGGAAAACAAAACTAGCCAGCTACTGCCACCACTTCCTCTAGTCATAGAGCCTCTTTGTGTGGCCTCTTAGTGGCTTGACTTTGCTGATGACCACTGAGAACACAGGCTCCAAAAGTGAAGAGGAAACAGGGGGAATGGGGACCAGAAGAGAATAGAATTTCAGAGCTCAAAGGGAAGCTATAATCTCTTGTCCAACCCCCGACTGAGGAAGGAATCCTAGAGCACCTCTGAGATGGCTGCTCACACTCTGATTAATAGGCTACCTCCTGAGAAAGCCTATCCTGACCTCGGTCAGACCAGGCAAGCCTTTGGAAAACGAGCTCATTTTGAAGTGAAATCTATCTCTTTTAAATTGCACTCCTTGGTTTTCTGTCATTTTGGAGTATTCTAGGCCAAATCTGTTTAATTTCACTTGGCAGTCCTCTGAAGAAAGTCCTCATGACTTACCTTACTTTTCTCCTCTGAACTAAATTTCCCCATTTCCTTCAGCTATTCCCTGAAGAATATGTATTCCAGATGCAGAATACTCTTGTTTGTACACACTGCAATTTTCTAAAACTTCTGTCCTATGGGCTAGAGAGCACCTACTTTTTGTCTGGTTCCTAGAATAAGAACAGTCTCTTATATAAGGAGTTGGGACTGGAGTAGGGGGGTCTTACGATTGGTTCATTCACTGAGATGGGAAACAAGAACCTTCTTGTGAATGTGGTTGCCTAGACCATACATAAATAGTGACCCCAAGGGTGCTTCCTGTGTGATACTTGACATACCTTAGCTCTGAGTTCACACAGAGTTGCCCTTTCAGAGATTTCAAATCTTCCCAGGCCCAGTGGCAATTCTAAGAGAATGAGAATTACCCCATGTCCTCGAGCAATCAAAGAAGTCTTCTGGCCTCTCCCTACTCCTGAAACACTAGACCAGAATACCCAACTGGTGGCTTGAATTGGGGCGGGGGGCACTGACTTGCTCTATATCCTCTTCCTGGTTCCTCCAGACAGGAGCAGTTACACATTCTTCTGCTCCCAGAACTTTCTATCCCCTTCTGAGCTAATATGGCTTCAAGCTGTAGCAAGAACTAGCAGACACAGAACACAGAGTCTGGCCCCAGAGGCTTATAAAAGAGAGAAAGAGACACCAAAGGCTGAAATCACTTCCTAGCATTTTCTTTCATCCCTTTCTGCACAGTCTGCTTCACTGAAACCACACCCTTCCTGTGAGACCCCCATCGCAGACCACTCAGCTCTTTAGTAGTTGCTGAGCAGAGCACTAGATGTGGTCTTGAACATGTACATGACAGTTCCTGTCTGGCAGCTTACAGTCCACCATGGCACAGCCCAGGATCGAGCCAATGAGGTCTAGAATAGGAGAGGTGTTAAACTGGCAGTAATTTATAGGCAGAACAGACTCAGAAGAATGAAGGGCCCAACATTTCACAGTGAATTAGTGGCAGGATCAGGGGCTGGAATCCAGTTCCCTTGAATTCCAATCCAAAACTCTCTAATCCAACATATGTAAAATCGTTATGTGTGTATCTGTATTTATATTTATAGATGTATGCATATGCATGGGTTTGTGGAAGGCTTTATTTCAACCATATTTTCCAAATTGAGTCTCATAATAATCCCATTTGACAGTGAAGGAAGCTCAGGTTTGATCACAAAGATAAATGGTAGCATCTGAATTCAGATCCTCACCTTCTAATTCCAGTTCCAATGTTCTTCCAATTACCTGACATTATTATTTGAGCTCAGTGGGTGTTACTAAATCCTTCTTAAGGATCCCTGTAGAATGAAATTCTCTTTGTCCTTGTCCCTCTCCTACATTTTTTTTTTTTTGAGGCAGAGTCTTGCTCTGTTGCCCAGGCTGGAGTGCAGTGGTGTGATCTCAGCTCACTGCAACCTCTGCCTCCCAGTGATTCTCCTGCCTCGGGCTCCCAAGTAGCTGGAATTACAGGTGCTCACCACCACACCTGGCTAATTTTTGTATTTTTTTTGTACAGAAGGGGTTTCACCATGTTGGCCAGGCTCATCTCGAACTCCTGACCTCAAGTAATCCCCCCGCCTCAGCCTCCCAAAGTGTTGGGATTACAGATGTGAGCCACTGTGCCTGGCTGGTTTCCTACATTCTTAACAAAGTTGTAACACAACTCCTCACTATTATGGTGATGGCAAAAGTTGAACATATGACATATCGCTAGCTAGTGGGAGTCAGTCCCTTTAGTCACCCTTAAGGATAGGTATAGAAAGACAGGGGTTAAGGTATGGCCAGCTCCAAACAGCAGGGGAATCATCTTGGAGGCAGGGACGTAGGGGTGGGGTAAATAGGTTTAGAGTCCTGCCTGCATCCTTGGTTGGAGGGAAAATAAGCTCATTAAAAAATGCTACCCTTGACTATCATCTTCTGTTTCATCCTTTTGCTTTTTTGTAATTCTTAGCATGACTTTTTATCATAATCCTAACAAATGTTTTGTCAACACATTATCTTAAAAGTCTGAAAACATTCCTCTTTGGAAGAACATTCTTAGGGAAAGCAATTGTATCCTTCCTCTTTCTCAACCAGCCAGATTTCTGAGTTGAGGAAAAGGAAGGCAATGGATATTTATTGAGCATTTACTATATGTCAGGAACTTTACACAGATTACCTCATTTACTTCGCTCCACAAAAGAGGTTTCACAGACGAGGAAACTGACGCTCACAGAGATGACATAACTTGCCTAAAGACACACAGCCAGCAAGTAACAGAGCAGGGATGGACACCTTGGCTTGTTAGACTAAAGCATTTGGCCAGTCCCCTCCACACAGTGCACACAGTCTTCCTGACACTGGGCAGGCTCAGCTCCTAAGCTCTTCGGTTCCAGAGGACCCTAACCAGAGGACCCTAATCACTGCTGCAGAGTCAGCCCTTCTGTCAGAAATGGCTTTGCAGATCATTATTTAATGGCAGCAGGAGATTTAAATGCACTCATGATCCTCAGAAAATCACACCCAGGATGAGAGTTTTCAAGCTGCACAGGACCTTACCACATGTACAACAACCCTTGAAATCTGAAGATTAGGAAACTGAGGCCAAAGGATTAGGATAAAATAATTTTCCCAGGTCATATGATTATTTAGTGGTAAAGCAGGGACCAGAACCAGGTCTCCTGCCTAGGATGAAGGCCAGGAATTCAGCACACTCATCATGAACTACTCAGAAGTGAAGAGAAAGGGGATAAAATACTCAATAGAGTCCTGCTGACATAGGTAGGACCGGGAAGAAAGAAAAACAGACGCAATGTACATGTAGCCAGAAAAAAGAGCCAGCATGTGAACCGAGACTGAAAATGAAGATCTAGCGTGGGCTAAATAAGTCACTCAATAAGTGACTTCCCAGATTGTTTTTTGCTCCCATTGCAAATACAATTGGAAGCCAAATGCAAGCCACCAAGGTTGCAGTGAAACAGTGAATAATTATAGCACAAATATTTGTGGGCAGCTGTTGGAGTGCAAGCCACCTGCTCCAAGTTTACAGCTTTGTTAAACTTGGTAAACATTAAAAATGGAATAGGAATGCCTCCAGTCTGTGCAGCATCCCATACCCTTCCTGAGAGGCCTCACTCGGGGAGCTGGGGTGGCCTTGCCCTTGACCAGGCCCTTCTCACTGTGGCCTAGAGTTGTTTTGTTTGTAGAGATCCATGTTGTCAAGTCTCTAATAGAGACTGAGGGAGGCAGGGAGTGTCACAGAATCGTTTATTTGTAGAGTTTTGAAAGGGTCACAGAGCCCTCAAAATATAATCTCTGTCCTATTATTCAGATGAAGAAGCTGAGATGGAGCAGTGATGTGCTCAAGTCATAAAGTTAGGGGCAGGACAGACTCTTTATCTCTGACCTTTTGAGCACTAAACTCTTTGTTTAGTGCTCCTTCCTGTAAGCCCTGTGAGGTTAATAGATGGTAACAACAAGGGAGTCAGCATTACAGAATGTTACAGCTGTGAGGGACATGGTTCTCAACTACCAGGATGTTTGGTTGCTACATGACCATGGGGCACTATTGGCATTTGGTGAGCAGCGGCCAAGGATGCTAAACAGCTTACAATGTGATAGTTGTGTATAACGAAGAATCATCTGGCTCAAATACCAAGAGTATCCTTGTTGAGAAATACTTTCTCCACCATTTGACTTTACAACTGGGGAATCTAAGATAGGGAGGGGCTTGAACATGTTCCCAAAAGGAGTCAGCAGTCACCTGACCCCAGACCGCTCTTTGTCCTACTCCATCCCACTGAGCCCTTGAGAGAATTAGCAGCAACCTTGGTGTCTTCAGCCTCCCCCTCCCTCAGCTCCTGCTGCACTTGCTCCCGAGCTATTTTCAGGTTGGCACGTACTTGGACTTTAGGCCCTCCTGCCCATAGGGCTGCAGCAGGTACTGGTGAACCAGCTTGTCTCTGAGAGTCCCAGCCAGCTTGATTTTCTTTCTTGATCGATGCAAGTTGATGATAAAAAGTGTAATGGACCCACGAACGTAGTTGTGGCTGAGATCCAGAGAAAGAGAGAAGTGAAAGATGGAAACAAAGTGGTCAGTTAGATGCTTCTAAATAATTTATAGACTGTACAAAATATGAACAGCCCTGAAAATGGCACTTAAAAACTTGGCCACCATAGACCCTAAAAGAAAGGAAGGCCTTGTTATTGTGGTTTCTTGCAAAGATGATAGCCACTTCCTGCCATACTTCTTTTGTTTTTGTTTAAATTTATTGCAATGATTTTAGAAAATATAATGTATATATTTTATGGCATATATTACCATAGTATGGAAGTAAAACATGCTGATTGCAAAAAAGGAAAAATATTGAGAAACAAAAAGAAGAAAAAGAAAATTCCCCATAACCCTCATATCTTGAGATATGATAATATTTTGGCAAACATCCTTCCAGTATTTTTTAGTTTATTAATTTGACAAATATTTATTGAGTACTTTGACACATTATTACTCAGTTTTTACATAACTGGAATCACATTATTCACAGAGATTTTTTTCCATTAATGAACATCTTAAACATATTCCCATGTGATTCTTTTTCTACTTGTAGAAGAATGCTAAACTTTTCAATCATAGAAGTGTAACATTACTTAACTAATCCCCTATGTTTGCAGTTCAGACAACTCATGTTTGAACATTTTTGCCATTATAAATTATGTCATGTGTATAAACTTTTTGATTATTTCTGATGGATAAAGTCCTAGACGTTGGAATCATTAGTCCAAGGGAAACGTGTGTTGTATGATTCCTCACCAAATTTTCCAGTTCATTCCCAGTGGTGCACCTCCCTGTGGGAAGATTTTTTCTTCCTGCCCTACTAAGTGATCGCGTGATTTGCTTTGTCCAATGAAATGTGAGTGGACATGGCAAAAACCTCTAGGCAGAAGCTTTAGGACTCAGCCCATCTTTTGCCATGTTTCATTTCCCTCTGCCAGAAGACTGACAATGTTCTTGACAAAGGCTGTTCTATTGAATGAAGATGATGTGGGCAGAGGTACAGTTGAGCCATGATGGACAAGTAGTGTGAATGAGAAATAAATTTTCTTATTGAAAGCCTTGGAGATTTGGGGGCTATTCATTATTGCAGCATAACCTCACCTATCCTGACAGATACACACTTTTTGATGCCATTGATATTAACTCTCTAGGAAGCTTTCACTAATTTTGCTCCCACCTGCTCTATATGAGAGCACCTATTTCCTCATACCCCTAAGAACACTTCCAATGTGTTCTTTTAAAATACCTTTGTCAACCTGAGAGGTGAAAATGGGATTTCAATGTTGTATTAATTTGTATTTTTAAAAATTAATACTGACATGCAGCATTTTTTCATTTGCCATTTCATTTCTTCTTTTGTAAGCTGACCATGTCCTTTGCCTGCCTGCCTTCCTTTCTTCCTTCCTTCCTTCCTTCTTTTTCTGTCCTTCCTTCCTTCCTTTTTTCTTTCCTTTCTTCCTTCCTTCCTTTCTTTCTTTTTTTCTCTGTCGCCCAGGCTGGAGTGCAGTGGCACGATCTGGGCTCACTGCAACCTCCGCCTCCTGCGTTCAGGCAATTCTCCTGCCTCAGCCTCCCTGGTAGCTGAGATTACAGGCGTGCGCCACCACGCCCAGCTAATTTTTGTATTTTTAGTAGAGATGGGGTTTCACCATGTTGGCCAGGCTGGTCTTGAACTCCTGACCTCAAGTGATCACCCGCCTTGGCCTCCCAAAGGGCTGGGATTACAGGCGTTAGACACCATGCCCGGACACCTTTGCCTATTTTTCTGTTGATTTATAAAAACTATTTATTAAAGAGCAGTCTTTTGTCTGCAAAATTTCCCCCAGTTTTCTTTGACCGTTTCAGTTTATTTACATTGTATTTTAATATATAAAAGTTAAAAAACTTTTATGTAGTCAAATTTATCTTTTTGATTTCTTCTTTTGCTGTTTTACCTACCTCAAGATTATAAAACTATTCACCATTTTGGAATCTTTTTAAATGAGCATAAGATCTTCAGAAGTCTGAGAGAACTATATGCCTACATGCACTAGCCCTTCAGCATGTATCAGCAAAACTATAATGATTTCCTTCTCTCTGTAGGAAAAAATGCTTAGTTTCTAAGGGGTCCCTTAGGGCCCCATCTGGATAGGTTAATGAGAGGAAACAGAAAAAAATGACCCAGCCCCACCTTCAAAGGAGGAGTTCAGAGAAACTCTAAGTCAACTTTGCCCAGAGGAAAGCATCATTCCTTATAGAAATAACACCCCTCCATCCTGGGTCACTCACCTCTGCTTCTAAAGGTGCTAATTAAGAGTTGAGTGACCAAGGACAGGTCAGTATGGTGACATGGAGTTTTTTATTTTTGTTTTTGTTTAGAAGCACAGTTTCCAGGGCTCTTCCGTGGAGATTTTGATGCAATCTATTTGGGATTAGGGACTGGGAATCTATACTTAAAAAAATCTTTCTGGGATATTTGGCAGATGAATTGGGTTTGGGAACCACTTGCTTAGAACAATCCATTAAGATTATGAGAAGAACTACTGAAGTATATCCTGCTGGCTGTGCGTCAGAAGATTTTTTTTGCATCTGCAGGAGGGTACATTATTGTGTTCAAGGCTTTTGGATGCCTGCATTTGTGTTCTGATAAATTATTAAAACGACTCTTTCATCCAGTTCCTCCTCCTCCGGTCCTTCTTAATCTCCTGCAACATGTGAACTAGCTTTTGTAGCTAAATGAGTTAGGTCAGAAGAGAATGCCAGTTGATTTAAGCAGACTTATGTCCCCAGAACTCTGAAGAAGGATGCTGGCAGCCTGAATCAGTGTTGACCATCATTAAAGAAGAACATCGACTCTATCCCATTGGTGGGGTTTCAGCTTAGCTTAGCTATCTGTAAAACTGAGGAAGACACCATTAATTGCAGGATCTCTAGGCTTCAGAGTGGGAGCAAAATACATGTGGATGGGTATCAATTTTGCCAGACTGCAGTAAATTCTTTTGCTAGCTACCATCAAACAACACTCTCAAAGGCCAGCAGTGGAGGAGGAGAGAGCCACATGCTTGCATTTATGAGTTTCTCCTCTGCAGAGCTGGGGCAGAATGAGCCCTTGGAGACTGCAGAAGAGAAGGTGGGATGTGGGGAAGTGGTGGGTGGGAGGGAGACCTGAAATCACAGCACTGCTGCAGGGAAAGCTGTCTTTTTCAAGCTGTTTGGCAGTGGTCTGATTTCCACTTACATAGTTCCCCTGGGGAAGACAAACCAGTACAGCCCAGAGACCCACATATAGAGGCTCTCAGAACTCATAGCGCCTTCTCAGGTAGGAATTGGCATTAAAGACTGCCTCAGCCATCCCTCTCCCTGCTTGGCTTATGGGCAAGGACATTAAGCCAGGCCTTTTTGCTGCAAAGACACATTCTTGGCTGGCGAGTGCAGCACCAACCTGAAAGTAGTGTGTTGAGAATCCAAATTCCTGAGGAACATATATTCTCTGACCACAGAAAAATAATCTTGGAGAAAATGGTGTCTGAAGGCTTGGCCTGCAAGCATTTGCTGGCCCTCTGAGGTTATCAAGTCCAGGTGGCTTTTGGTTATCTTAGTGAATGTTCCTTTCAGGAGAGAAGTTGTCTGAGAGGACCATCTATCTTGCCCCATGTCTCACTCATGGGTGAGATTTTTTTTTCACCAGCAGAGAATCCATGTATCTGGAGTTCATTTTTTCTGGCTGTTCTTTTCCTGCCTGAGATTTCTCTGTGTTGCCATGGGAGGAGGCGGAAGTGAGTCAGGGAAAGGAGGCTGGAATTGGAATATCCTAAATGTAAGAGGTGGGGAATGTCATATGGGGAGGTGCATCTTGACTTCCAGATAGAAAACAGTCATGTTCTAGAAATGTCTCCAGTGAAGCTGGGAGGCTGGGAAAGGGAAAGGAGGATGATGCTTTGCAGTCCACGGTCATTCCCACTGAAAGTCAATGTGCTTGAAACTGGGTTGATCCATTGTCTCCAAATCTAATTCAAAGGTTTTGGGTTCGGTAAAAGCCAGGCCATGTTTTGCCAAACATTTTTTCCCTTAATTTCAAAGCCCCTGTGTATTTTAAGGGAAATTTAATCCACATGTTTCTGATTCATTTACACTTAACTCATCAAAATATTGTTTTGTAAGAGCCATTTGATGTCCAAGAAGCCTCAGGAACCATTTTTATGAGTCTTTAAAAAAACTTCTTCTGAAAAACAGGAAGTCATGTTTTGCCAATAATAAATGAACTTGAACCCCAAAAGGCTTAATTTTCCTTCAGCATCCACCAGGTTCCAATTGGTTCTGAACTTGGCTAAGGACCTCATCTCCACCCCAGAAACATACGTTGTTTCAGCAGAATGGCTCATAAAAAGAGGCTTCCTCATCAAAACTTGATTGTTCTCTGAACAAGAAGATCGAGGATGAGAACTGCCATTCTGTCAGTGTCCTAATTTGTTAATTCTAGAACAGAAAACAGAAAAGCACCTGCTGGTGGTGGTATGAGGATCTAACTTTTTCTCCTAAATTAATCATAAGAGACAGCACTCTACAAGATCAGAAATGACCCACAATGCAAGGGGCTGCCATGACAGGCGGTGAGGTATCCACATAGGGGTTGCATGACTGTCAGGGAGATGTGAAATGGATTCCTGTGTTGAATAGGCACTCGGCTGAATGATTTCTAAGGGCTCTTTCCAAATGTAACATTCTTTGCATTATTAATGCTGTTATTTGCATGTAGATGTGATACCGTAGAACCTTTGAAATTCAATAAAATAAGTGCAAATATCTGGAAAGATGCTTGTCACACAGCAAGTATTCAATACACACTGGAGTGCAGGGGTTGTTATTTTAATAGACACTTTCTCTGGATGATTCTACTCATAAGTTTATACCTTCTCCCCAATCCCTGTTTTGACCTGGGACAAATATTTTCAGAGTATTCGTCAAGGTTGAATAGTGTGAATCCACCATGCCCACTCTGGGATAATTCTGTGATTTTGGCCTATTGGCCACAGATAAATGACTCAGCAGTGCTTCCTTAATGGCACATGATTTCTCAGAGAGGTGAACAGATACTTCTTCTACCTTTGAGCTGCCCTAGCTGGACACTGACACCTGTTGACATGGAGGAGCCCTGCAACCTCAGCCAGCTCCGTGCATTCACTGTGGGTTTTCTTTATGAATCTAATAGGAACAAAAACACCTTCAACCCAGTTATTATCATTAGGGTCACATGTAGAACGGATTATGAAAGTCTTTTCTTTCTGTCTTTTTAACAGAGAGTGAGAGAGGTTGTACTGATAGAAGCCCAGTGACACCGTTTCTCTAGAGAGGTTCTGGAGTGACTTTGCATAGAAATTAGAGGAGAGCTGGTGGTGTAGACAGACAGTCTTGAATGCAGATAATTTCAGTAACTTGTTTGAGGTCTCATGCTATGGAATGGTAGAATTCCTAACCACTCCACCATACCATTTCCTTCTGGCTGATGTCGTAATATCAAAGGGGAAGAAAGCTCTAACTCTAAATCAACAGTAACATCTTGATGCCCAAATTCTGCATTTGTTCATTCATTTGCAAACCTTTCCTGGGATCTTCATGCCAGTCACTATATTAGACACCAAGAATACAAAAATGAATGAGACACTGGCCCTGAGTTCATGGTACACTCAGAATATTAATGACAACTTCCCATGAGGATGTTAAAGAATGAGGATGAACACTCGAGATCACGTGAGGAGGCTTCTATGAGGAGACGCAAATCCTGCTAAGCCCATGGCTGCAGATATTTTTTCCCCCAAGTCCTCAGATTAGCGGTATAAAGACCACAGACTGATATGCTTTCCAACAGGGATATAAGGTGCCAAGAGTAATTTTTCTATCTCGAGTCTGGGGGTCCACCTTTTGGGTGGTTACCTCAGGGCCAGGGCAGAGACAAGGAATACAATGTTTCCTTGTGTGATGATCAGATAACTCCAGGCCAAGGCCATAAAGCAGTCACTCTCTGTCAGGTATTGGATTGAGCTTCCTGTTGAGCAAAAGGGATGTTGAAAGCCTCTGGCCTCTGCCCAAGCCAGCCTCCCCTCATTTACAATAGGCACTTGTATCTACTGACAAGACAACTGGCCCCTGCCCCCCCTCTCCTCAGAGTGATTCTTTGAAAAGTCTTATCATGATAAATTAATTGGCTTGGCTCCTCTCTCATCAAGGAAGCAGAAGGAGCATCTGTTGTAACCTGACCACTCCAAGCTCTTTGTACTAGGTACTCCCCTTGATCAGTTCCTGATAGGCCTGGGCTGGAATGAAGGTCTGGCTGGAGGCACTTGCTTACCATTCCCTGCCCCGTATCCCCCCACCAGGTTTTCTTTGCATTAAGAGAAAGAGAAAGAATTATATTTTCCAGGGCAGCCTACTCTGCCTTAAACAGGAAGTGATGTAAGAAAGCCATATTTGGCCAGATGGATTTTGCTTTAGGCACCCCCCACCCCTGATTATAGTTTTCCCTTATGGTCTTCATGTGTCAAAATTTTTTATCTGCCAAGCTTATATTTATTGACAATTAATTTTCCTGTTTGTTTTAAAGACAACTGTAATGACAACCAGTTCTTCAGATCAAAAAGAGGATAACCCCACACTACCACATTAGGTTGTTGTCCAGAGCCCTCAGAAAAGGAAGCCCAGATTTCACTTAGCCTCTTAATTTTTAAAATAGCTGAAAAGATTTTCAAAACACTGGAAATGGCTCTAAAGCTGGCATGACCATCTCTGGGCACTCCTTTAGTTCTGGGGACCCCCAGCTTGACAAGCATTGGTCTAGGGCTAGGTTTCTAGCGGCATATCTCTCCAGCATGCATCTTAGAAAGGGAGATTTATTTTCTCAAGCTTTGCTGGTGGATCATAGGAAAAGATTTTATACCTCTTGACTTGGCTAAAGCTTAGGCACACAAAAAAGCCTCATGGGCATTACATCAACTGGCACAGAGAAAATGCTCAATAAAAATGTGTTGGATGAATAAGTAAATGAACAAATGGCAAGAATTTTAGGAACCTTTTATGATTAATCCTCTAAGTATGAGAAGGGAGCGTTTACTTGGAGTAAAAGCTATTTACCAGAAATTATTTGAAACCTCCAAAGAGCAGGTATGGTGATTCCAGAGGCAAAAAGTTTTTGATAAGATTAGTGAATGGAGATGAGTCTTGAAGGGGTCCCAAATGGTATGGGGTGGGAGCCCCTCAGGTGGCCTTTCTGCCATCTTTCTGAGGACTTACTTGTGGTGGTTTGTGCAGTGAGCATAAATCCTTAGTTTGTCCCGGATCACTCGGCCAGGCCGTGGCTTCCGCTGGAGCCCAGCCACATGCACAGCCAAGACTTTGGGGCCGATCAGGCGCTTGTAGAGGAGAGAGAGCCAGTAGTCCTGAGGAGAATAGAGAGGGAGAGGGTCAGCGAGAGAACACATGCTCAGGTGTTCTGAGTAAACATGACACACACACACACACACACACACACACACGGGCCAGAAATCACTTCCTACCTGGAGTCATGAGTCATGACCAATGCAGCCCTAAGCCTACAAGCATGGTCAGCCCCATGAAACACGAACGTGGGTTGATAATGAAATGGACACTGTCTAAAGTGGCCTTTCAACTAAACTGGGATGTGTAAGTGGAGTCGATCCACAGCAGCATATGAACAAATCAATCAAGGATTTTCATATATGAAATAAAACCATTTGAGGCTTTACATTTTCAACTTTCTTTTCCTATGACTTTACTTTTATAGCGGCTTATGATTTCTGTTTAATTATGGAATGGATTATTTCCATTCCTTAGAATTGTTACTAACATGATCATCCAAACTGTCATTCTCCAAATATTATCACTGAAGACTACTAGTGCAGTGGGACTGAGGTGAAGCTTCTCCACATAGGAGACCAGAGTCCTTGATTCCAGAGCCAGAAAGGCAAACAGAAAAATGTTTGCAACCACGGTGCTAATTCTTGGTTATCCTCAACAGTTTGACAATAAAAAGTGTAATTCTAAACTAAAAAGAATGTGATGCTTTAATCATTCCATGTGTAATTGATTTAAAAATTTTCAATCTGTGGCACACATTTATATGAGCTTACAAAAACCCACCTTAATTTCTGTTGCATTTGCTATTATCATATTTTGTGTTTGCATCTGACATAAATATAAAATTTACATTTCTGTTATGCAAGCTCTTACCAGCTATTGTGAGGTAATGACTTCAGTGTTTATAACTCACTGTATAAAACAGGGCTTCCTAATAACATTTAGGACCCCCTACCCCACTCAAATTCCTGAATTCAGTGAATATACTATTCAGTGCATACTCTTCAATGCCTTAAAGACATCAATCGTGATTTATTAAACTTCATATTTTCAGGCAGAAGCCTTCTGATAATCTTTTTTTTTTTTCTTGTGTGGTCATTTATAATATCAGCTGCTTAAAAATATCTGATGAACTGCATAAATCAGAATAAAGTCTCAAAGCCCCTTTGCCACTAGAATGGCTCCAAATCTGCCCTGAGTAGTGTGCTCTAAGCCATGCACAACCATTTACTTTAATTTTAAGTGGCCTTAGGATGGCTGTTAAATATGGTCTCCTAATATTAAAAAAGGCAAATAATCATTATCAATTATATAGATGGAAAAAGTGTTGTGGGTTTAAGATGCTCAAATTTGATTACAATTTCTGTGTTTTTGATGATTACTTTATGAAGTGGTTTTCACATTGCAAGGGAATTTCCACCTTTTTCTTACTGATTTGCAATGTACTTTCTTTTAAATAATAAAAGTAAAAAACTGTAAGTTAGCTAGGATTAGCTTACTATTTTCTCAGTAGCTCCTCTGATATAGTAATAGGGATTATTATTCTTATTTTACAGATATGAGAATGTTTCAAGGGGTATCTCAGGTCACAAAACTAGTGAATGGTAGACTATGAAAGCAAATAGGGATCCATTTGCCTCCAATGGCTGTACAACGCTTTCCTTCATGCTGTGAAGTACAAAGTCATATTATATAAAGACACAAGGCAGCTGAAAAACAAGGAATTCAACCTAAAGGGTGGGTATAGAATCCGGAAGGGATCCTTAGTTTTTTGTATAGAGGTTGCCAAAATTTAATTTCTGATTTTTACACTCACAAAGCATTTAGAACACAAGAACAGCAAATGCACAAAACACTTCTGTTTCTCCAATTCCGGCTCACTACAGTTCTTTCCCATTTTTCTTATCCTTCATTCCAATGTCTTATCACAAACACCCCTGTTTTTATTTAGGTAATTTGAAAAAGCTAAACAGGCTTTCTCTCAAACTTGCATTTGGGTATAGCCATTACCTTTGTGTCGTAGCAATTTTCACTTAATGTGAGACATGTTTGTAAGCAAGCCACTCACATTTGGAAAAAAGAGATATTATGTTTACGGTGGCTCACGCCTATAATCCCTGCACTTTGGGAGGCCGAGGTGGGCAGATCACGAGGTCAGGAGATCGAGACCATCCTGGCTAACACGGTGAAACCCGGTCTCTACTAAAAATACAAAAAATTAGCAGGGCGTGGTGATGGGCGCCTGTAGTCCCAGCTACTCGGGAGGCTGAGGCAGGAGAATGGCGTGAACCCAGGAGGCGGAGCTTGCAGTGAGCCGAGATTGCGCCACTGCACTCCAGCCTGGGCAACAGAACGAGATTCCGTCTCAAAAAAGACAAAAAAAAAAAAAAAAGAAAAGAAAAGAGATATTATGTTTATTACGTTTAATTCTCAATAATTATGTAGAGATAAAAAATAAACTTATATAATCCCCACCATAATTGAGTGGCAAACTTTAGATTTATTAACTTGAAACCTGTCTGCTTTTCAATAGGAGATAGCTAAATGCCATGTCACTCTCTAAAAAAGGAGATGAGGATACCTGGGTAAAACTCTAAAGATGTTTGGGATAGATATATAAAAGAAGTTGATAAGGTTAATTCCTAATGACCAACATTTTTTCCCAATTTTTTTTTACTGTGGGGAGATCCACATAACATAAAATTTACCATCTTAACCATTTTTAAGTGTACAGTTCAGTGGTATTATGTAAATTCATAATGTTGTATAACCATCACCACTGTCCATCTCTATAACTTGTCATCTTGTAAAACTGAAACTCTGTACCCATTAAACATTAACTCTTCATTCCCCCTCCCCCAATCTCTGGCAACCATCGTTCCACTTTCTGCCTCTGTGACTATTCTAAGTATCTCATATAAATGAACTCATAGTATTTGTCTTTTTGTGACTGGCTTATTTCACTTAGCATAGTGTCCTCAAGGTTCATCCATGTTGTAGCATATGTCAGAATTTTCTTCTTTTGTAAGGCTGAATAATATTCCATTGCATTTGTATACCACATTTGAACTTAATTTGCAGCCTAACACATGGCTTATCCTGCAAAATGTCCCATATGCAATGAGAAAAAATGTATATGCTATTGTTGCTGGGTAAAGTGTTTGGTGTGTCTGTTAGATCTAGTTGGTTTATTATGTTGTTTAACTCCTCTACTTCTTTATTTCTGTATTGTTTTCTTATCATTATTGAGAATGGGATATTGAAGTCTTCAACTGTTATTGCAGAAGTGTCTGTTTCTCTTTCAATTCTGGCAACTTTCACTTCATATTTTTTTGTGATCTGTAATCAGGTGTGTAAACATAATGTTATATATTATTGCTGCACTGAAACTTTTATTAATATATAATTTCCTTCTTTGTCTCTTATAATCTTTTAAAATTTAAAATCTATTTTGTCTGATATTAATAAAGCTGCCCCTACTCTCTTTTGGTTACTATTTTTATGGAATATATTTTTCCATCCTTTCAATCTGTTTGTGTTTTTGGGTCTAAAGTGAATCTCTGTGCAGACAGCATAGAGTTGGATCCTGTTTTTCTTTTAAAATCTTTTCTGCCAACCTCTGTCTTTTGACTGGAGAGTTTAATCAATTTACATTTAAAGTAACTACTGATAAGGAGGGACATCTGTCATTTTGCTGTTTTCTATGTTACAGCTTTTTTGTACCTCCTTTCCTATATCACTATCTTCTTTTGTGTTTAGTTGATATTTTTTAGTGAAATGTTTAAATTCCTTTCTCATTACCTTTTGTGCATATTCTATAACTATTTTCTTTGTGGTTACTTTGGTATTACATTTAACATCCTAATTATAACACTCTAATTTGCATTTATACCAGCTTAACTTTAACAACATACAAAAACTCTGCTCCTTTACAGCTCTGTCCTCACCCTTCTCAATTGTTTGAAATGCTTGTTCTCCGGTGCCATAAAGAAATAGCACTTGAACATAAATTTAATTTATTTAGTAAGGCCATTTTTACTTCCTGCAGAAAGGGTACACCTGCAAGCAGTTTTGCCATGAGAGTATACTGAACAAAGGAGACAGGGTCATTTATAACCTGACGCATCCACCCTACTGCTATGTCTGGTTTCCATTGGCTGGAACGGGACCTCACATTCTGTATTTGTCCCAATTGGCTAGCAACTTAGAACTGTTTAAAAGAGGCAAAGGTAGAGGAGAACAAAGGAAGGAGGAAGTAACTTGTGGAATGCTGAGAAAGATAAAAACACTTTTAAATAAGGAAGAGGAACAGGCTATGACCTAATGCTTGCTTGGACCAATATAAGCATGCCAGGGCAAATATTTAGGCTAAATTGTGGGAGCTAAGAACATAAAGTACATTGATTTCTTTATTATGGCTAGCAGATATTTAAGAATGTTAGCACAGGTCTTTGAATAAATTTTGCTTTTAAGAGAAGTTACTATTTATTCCTAATTAGACAGGGAGGAAAGTCTTTGAAGAGGAACTTCTATTTCTCTTTTTACATCAATGGTTGATGTCACAAAATTACATCTTGATACATTGTGTGTCCCCAAAACATAAACTGATAATTCTTTTAAATACATTATTCTCATAAATTATGTAGAAACAAAAATTGGAGTTACAAACCAAAGTAACAATAACACTAGCTTCTAGACTAATAATTGTTTTTAAAAGAGGTATTAGTCTGTTAAAACATGCAGAAAAAAAGTTTAAAACCTATTGTCTTAATAGGAGTTAAAACCTATTATTACAATAATGCCAGCTTGTATATTTGCTCATATACTTAATATTTATTGAGATCTTTATTTTTTCATACAACATTGAATTACTGTCTAGTATACTTTCATTGCAACAAGCAGGACTCCCTTAAGCATTTTTTGCAGAGCAAGTCTAGTCATCACAAAATCTCTCAGCTTTTCTTTATTTGAGAATGTCTTAATTTCTCCCCTACTTTTGAAGAAAAAATTTTGATGGATATAGGATTCTTTGTTGACAGTTTTTTTTTTTCTTTTAGCACTTTGCATATATTGGCTCACTGCCTTCTGGCCTTCAAAGTTTCTGATGAGAAATCTGCTGATAATCTTACTAAGAATTACTTATATTTGGCAATTCACTTCACTCATGCTGCTTTCAAGATTTGATTTGGCCTTTAAAATCTGATTAAAAGTGTCTTGGTGTGGGTCTCTTTAGATTCATCTTATTTAGAATTCATTGAGCTTCTTGGATGTTTATGTGCATGTTCTTTATCAAATTTGAGACGTTTTCAGCCATTATTTCATTGATTATTTTCTGTGATCCTTTTTCTCTTCTCCTTCTGGGACTCCCACAGTGTGTATATTAGTCCACTTAATGGTGTCCCCCAGGTCCCTTTGGCCCTGTTCATTTTTCTTCAATCTTTTTTCTTTCTGTTCCTCAGACTAGATAATTTCCACTGTCTTTGAATTTGCTGATTCTCTCTTCTGACTGCTCCAATTTGCCTTTGAATTCCTCTAATAAATTTTTATTTCAGTCACTATATTTTTCAGCTCCAGAATTTTTTTTTTTGTTTCTTTACAGGTTTTCTTTCTCTTTACTGATATTCCATTTTGTTTATACATCATTTTCTTGACTGTTTCCACATCTTCATTTAACGTCTTCAAGAGAATTGGTTTAAAGTCTTTGCTTAGTAGATCTGCCATCAAGTCTTTTTCAATAATGGTTTCTATGGATTTATTTATTTTTTTCTTTGAATGAGCCATACTTTCTTGTTTATTTGTATGCTTTGTAATTTTGTTGTTGTTGTTGGAAACTGGACATTTGAATCTAATAATGTGGTGACTCTGGAAATCACATCCTCTTCCTCCCTAGGGTTTGCTGATTTTTAGTTGTTTTTGGTGTGTGTGTGTGTGTAAGTGTGGGTGAGTATGTGTGTGTTTAATTATTGTAGGCTGCCTCTGTGCCAAGGATCAGCCTGAGGTACAAACTTAAGGTCTTCTCAGGTCTTTTTTGAGCCTGCACCTTTTCTTGGGTATGCGTACTTTCTACTTTTCCCTGTATACACAGTTGCTTTTGAATGTTCCTGTATTTAATGTGTGAAAGGAAAAAGAGGAAAAAAGGAGGAGAGTAAAAAAACAAAACAAAACAAAAAGGCACCAATCTTTTAAATCCCCTACAGTCACTTCAGCCAGAGGGGGAGAGGCTTACATCAATGGAGAGAGGTGCAACAACAGTGGTTGCCTGCCTCTTTATCTGCACCTTTTGGTCAGAAGCAGTAATCAGAGATGAGAGTAGAGATCCTTGGTATTTAGAGGATGGGGTATTTTTTGACCACTCTGACTTCCTGCAAGCTGTATGCAAACTGCTCCAGGAACACATACACAGCTACCTGCCATAGGGCTAAGAGGTGGGGAATGGGTAGTCACTACTGAGCTAAGAGCTGAAATTGACCAAAATTAACTGCAATTCACCTTCCTAGCTTTCCCTTGAAACTTGCAAGACTTTAATAGACCTTAGAGTTCTAAAACAGTTACATGAGACAGACTCTGCCAGTGCAATTGTTGTCTGAGTGAAGAGACAGATTCATGATGCTTCCTATTCTACCATCTTTCCAGAATCCTCTGTAACATAGCTTTTAATTTTGGTAGTAACAATCCTTTAGTTGTATACAGTATAAATATTCTGTTCAAGTTTGTAGTTTGACTTTTATCACTTTTTATGGTTTTTTGACATGGAGAATTAAAAAAAAATTATAGGAAAACACATCAATATTTTTCTCTTGGTTTCTTTTTTTAATTCTTAGTAAGTCCTTCCTCATATAAGGATTAGATACATCTTCACTTATATTTCTTCTAGTTCTTTTTTATATTATTTAAAGATTTAAACTTTTAATTCATTGAAAATGATTTGATGTATACTATTAAGTTTGCTATTTTTTAAGTAGTCTAGTAATTATTTTAGTATCATATAATGAATAACCTATCCGTAAGCCCATCCTTATCACATACTAAGTAATAGTAAGTCTTCACTTAATGTCATCAAGAGGTTCTTGGAAATTGTGACTTTAAGTGAAATGATGTGTAACAAAACCACTTTTTTCCTCATCAACATTACAATGAAATGACATTGAGCAAAATGACATTATTTGAGGATTTGCTGTACATCATTTCACTTAAAGTCACAGTTTCTAAGAATCTATCAATGACATTAAATGAGGACTTTGTGTGTATGTGTGTGCATCTTATGATGTGGGATATTCATGATATACTGATAAACAATATATATAATTCTGTGTCTAGATTTTCTATTCTCTTCCACTGAACTCTCAATTTTTAATCAGTTTCACAGCATTTTCATTATTATCATTTATTTTAATATCTACAGATTCAAGTCTATTTCATTATACTTTTATTATTTTGTTCAAACTTTTCTTATTTAGGCATATTTATTTAAAGCATTTTTGAAATTGATACATAATCAATATACATATTTTCAGGGTGCATGCAATAATTTAATTTGATCACAAATTTGTAAATATCAAGTCAATGTAACTGAGATTTCCATCACCTCATACTCATTTGTTTTTCCAAATAAATTTTGAAATCATTTTCTTTTTTAAAAATGTCAATATTGACCTCAAGCAGAATGAGATCATTTTCTTGTAGCACTGTTGCAGAGAATTTTGAAGCTAGCATGATTTTTGTTCTATGTATAGGTAGCCTGTTTATTTTCTAGTATTTGTGTTTTGCTAGGATGCTTATAGAAGTCATGTTTTATCCTTAATTTTATGAACTTTGGCCAGAAATCTGTCAATATGAGTTTCTGCATTAATTTGCCAGTATTAGGGAGAGCACTTTTGATCCGAAAGACAAACACTTTTCTTTAGCCTCTGAGAACTTTCTTTAAATATAGCTTTGAGGAGATTGGATCATCATGGTGGACGGGAGGCAGGACTAGATTGCAGCTCCAACTCGGACAGACAAAGCAGCATGCGGAGGCTCGCATCGTGAATTTTAGCTCCAGATCAACTGCAAGAACAACCAGCAATCCTGAGAGGACCCACAGACCCTCTGAAGGAAGTGGACTGCTTCTGCAGGACCTGGGAGACACCCTAAATACTGTGCTGGTATCCATGGCTGAGGGACCCATAGATGGTTCCCATCACAGGACTCTGCAGACAACCCCCAGTACCAGCTCGGAACTGGGTAGACTTGCTGGGTGGCTAGACCCAGAAGACAGACAACAATCACTGCAGTTCAGCTCACAGGAAGCCACATCCATAGGAAAAGGAGGAGAGTACTACATCAAGGGAACACCCCATGGGACAAAAGATTCTGAACAACAGCCTTTAGCTGTAGACCTTCCTTCCCTCTGACAGAGCCTACCCAAATGAGAAGCAACCAGAAAACCAACTCTGGTGATATGACAAAACAAGGCCCTTTAACACCCCCAAAAAATCACACTGGTTCACCAGCAATGGATCCAAACCAAGAAGAAATCCCTGATTTACCTGAAAAAGAATTCAGGAGGTTAGTTATTAAACTAATCAGGGAGGCACCAGAGAAAGGTGAAGCCCAGTGCAAGGAAATCCAAAAAACAATACAAGAAGTGAAGGGAGAAATATTCAAGGAAATAGATAGCATAAAGAGAAAGCAATCAAAACTACAGGAAACATTGGACACACTTATAGAATTGCAAAATGTTCTGGAAAGTCTCAGCAATAGAACTGAACAAGTAGAAGAAAGAAATTCAGATCTCAAGGATAAGGTCTTCAAATTAACCCAATCCAACAAAGACAAAGAAAAAATAATAAGAAAACATGAACAAAGCCTCCAAGAAGTCTCGGATTATGTTAAATGATGAAACCTAAGAATAATTGGTGTTCCTGAGGAAGAAGAGAAATCTCAAAGTTCGGAAAACATATTTGGGGGAATAATCGAGGAAAACTTCCCTGGCCTTGCTAGAGACCTAAACACCCAAATACAAGAAGCACAAAAATCACCTGGGAAATTCCTCACAAAAAGATCATCACCTAGGCATATTGTCATCAGGTTATCTAAAGTTAAGATGAAGGAAAGAATCTTAAGAGCTGTGAGACAGAAACACCAGGTAACCTATAAAAGAAAACCTGTCAGATTAACAGCAGATTTCTCAGCAGAAACCCTACAAGCTAGAAGGGATTGGGGCCCTATCTTCAGCCTCCTGAAACAAAACAATTATCAGTCAAGAATTTTGAATCCAGCGAAACTAAGCATCATATATGATGGAAAAATACAGTCTTTTTCAGACAAACAAATGTTAAGAGAATTCGCCACTACCAAGCCACCACTACAAGAACTGCTAAAAGGAGCTCTGAACTTTGAAACAAATCCTGGAAACACATCAAAACAGAACCTCTTTAAAGCATAAATCACACAGGACCTATAAAACAAAAATACAAGTTAAAAAGCAAAAACAAAAACCAAAAAAACCAAGGTACACAGGCAACAAGCAGCAGGATGAATGCAAAGGTACCTCACATCTCAGTACTAACATTGAATGTAAATGGCCTCCATGCTCCACTTAAAAGATACAGAACTGTAGAATGGATAAGAACTCAACAACCAACTATCTGCTGCCTTCAAGAGACTCACCTAACACATAAGGACTCACATAAAGTAAAGGGGTGGAAAAAGGCATTTCATGCAAATGGACACCAAAAGCAAGCAGGGGTAGCTATTCTTTTTTCAGACAAAACAAACTTTAAAGCAACAGCAGTTAAAAGAGACAAAGAGGGACATTATATAATGGTAAAAGGCCTTGGCTAACAGGAAAATATCACAATCCTAAACATATATGCACCTAACACTGGAACTCCCAAATTTATAAAACAATTACTAATAGACCTAAGAAATAAGATAGACAGCAACACAGTAATAGTGGGGGACTTCAATACTCCACTGACAGCAGTAGGCAGGTCATCAAAAGACAGAAAGTCAACAAAGAAACAATGGATTTAAACTATACCTTGGAACAAATGGACTTAACAGATATATATAGAACATTTCACCCAACGACTGCAGAATACACATTCTACTCAATAGTTCATGGAACTTTCTCCAAGATAGAACATATGACAGGCCATAAAATGAATCTCAATAAACTTAAGAAAACTGACATTATATCAAGCACTCTCTCAGACCACAGTGGAATAAAACTGGAAATCAACTCCAAAAGGAATCTTCAAAACCATGCAAATACATGAAAATTAAATAACCTGCTCCTGAATGAGCATTGGGTCAAAAACGAAATCAAGATAGAAATTAAAAAATTATTCAAACGAAATGACAATAATGACACAACCTGTCAAACCCTCTGGGATACAGCAAAGGCGGTGCTAAGAGGAAAGTTCATAGCCCTAAATGCCTACATTGAAAAGACTGAAAGAGCACAGACTGACATTCTAAGGTCACACCTCAAGGGACTAGAGAAGCAAGAACAAACCAAACCCAAACCCAAAAGAAGAAAGGAAATAACCAAGATCAGAGCAGAGCTAAATGAAATTGAAACAAACAAAAAATACAAAAGATAAATGAAACAAAAAGCTGGTTCTTTAAAAAGATAAATAAAATTGATAGACCATTAGCAAGAATAACCAAGAAAAGAAGAAAAGAAGATTAAGAAAAGAAGAGAGAAAGTCTAAATAACCTCATTAAGAAATGAAACAGGAGATATTACAACTGACACCACTGAAATACAAGAGATCACTCAAGGCTACTTGTGAACACCTTTATGCACATAAACTAGAAAACCTAGAAGAGGTGGATAAATTCCTGGAAAAATACCCTCCTAGCTTAAGTCAGGAAGAATTTGATACCCTGAAGAGACCAATAACAAGCATTGAGATTGAAATGGTAATTTAAAAATTACCAACAAAAAAAAAAGTCCAAGACTACACGGATTCACAGCAGAATTCTACCAGACACTCAAAGAATTGGTACCAATTCTTTTGACACTATTCCAAAAGATACAGAAAGAAGGAACCCTCCCTAATTCATTCTATGAAGCCAGCATCACCCTAAAACCAAAACCAGGAAAGAACATAACCAAAAAAAGAAAACTACAGACCAATATCCTTGATGAACATAGATGCTAAAATCCTTAACAAAATACTAGCTAACTGGATCAATCCAACAACATATCAAAAAGATATTCTACCATGATCAAGGGGATTTCATACTAGGGATGTAGGAATGGTTTATCATATGCAAGTCAATAAATGCAATACACCACATAAACAGAATTAAAAACAAAAATCACATGATCATCTCAATAGATGCAGAAAAAGCACTTGACAAAATCCAGCATCTCTTTATGATTAAAACTCTCCAGCAAAATCAGTATACAAGGGACATACCTCAATGTAATAAAAGCCATCTGTGACAAACCACAGCCAACATAATACTGAATGGGGAAACGTTGAAAGCATTCCCTCTGAGAACTGGAACAAGACAAAGATGCCCACTCTCCTCACTCCTCTTCAACATAGTATTGGAAGTCCTAGCCAGAGCAATCAGACAAGAGAAAGAAAGGGCATCCAAATTGGTAAACAGGAAGTCAAACTGTCACTGTGTGCTGATGATATGATCGTTTACTTTGAAACCCCTGAAGACTCCTCCAAGAAAGCTCCTAGAACTAATAAAATAATTCAGCAAAGTTTCTGAATACAAGATTAATGTACACAAATTGGTAGCTCTTCTATACACCAACAGCAACCAAGTGGAGAATCAAATCAAGAACTCAACCCCTTTTACAATATCTGCAAAAAAAAAAACAAACTTAAAAATATACCTAACCAAGGAAGTGAAAGACCTCTACAAGGAAAACTACAAAACACTGCTTAAAGAAATCACAGATGACACAAACAAATGGAAACACATCCCTTACTCATGGATGGGTAGAGTCAATATTGTGAAAATGACCATACTTCCAAAAGCAATCTATAAATTCAATGCAATCCCCATCAAAATACTGCCATTATTCTTCACAGAATTTGAAAAAACAATTCTAAAATTCATATGGAACCAAAAAAGAGCCTGCATAGCCACAGCAAGACTAAGCAAAAAGAACAAATTGAGAGGCATCGCACACTACCTGATTTCAAACTATACTATTAGGCCATAGTCACCAAAACAGCATGGTAATGGTATAAAAATAGGCATATAGACCAATGGAACAGAATAGGGAACCTAGGAATCAACCCACATACTTACAGCCAACTGATCTTCGACAAAGCAAACAAAAAAATAAAGAGGGGAAACGTTACACTTTTCAACAAATGGTGCTAGGATAACTGGCTAGCCACATGTAGGAGAATGAAACTGGATCCTCATCTCTCACCTTATACAAAAATCAGCTCAAGCTGGATTAAGAACTTAAATCTACAATCTGAAACTATAAAAATTCTAGAAGACAACATTGGAAAAATCCTCTAGACATTGGTTTAGGCATGGATTTCATGAACAAGAACCCAAAAGCAAATGCAATAAAAACAAAGATAAATAGTTGGGACTTAATTAAACTAAAGCGCTTTTGCACACCAAAAGGAACAGTCAGCAGAGTAAACAGACAATCTATACATCTGTCAAAGGATTAGTATCCAGAATCTACAACGAACTCAAACAAATCAGTAAGAAAAAAACAAACAATCCATCAAAAAGTGGGCTAAGGACATGAATAGACAATACTCAAAAGAAGATTTACAAATGGCCAACAAACATATGAAAAAATGCTCAATAGGCCTGGTGCAGTGGCTCACGCCTGTAATCCCAGCAGTTTGGGAGGCCGAGGCGGGTGGATCACCTGAGGCCAGGAGTTTGAGATCAGCCTGGCCAACATGGTGAAACCCCGTCTCTATTAAAAATACAAAAATTAGCTGGGCATGGTGGCAGGCATCTGTAATCTCAGCTACTCAGGAGGCTGAGGCAGGAGAGTTGCTGGAACCCGGGAGGTGGAGGTTGCAGTGAGCCAAGATCGCGCCATTGCACTCCAGCCTGGGTGACAACAGCAAGACTCCATCAGAAAAAAAGAAAAAGAAAAAAAGAAAAAAAGAAAAAAAAGAGTAAAAGAAAACACTCAACATAACTAATGATCAGGGAAATGCAAATCGAAACCACAATGCAATACCACCTTACTCCTACAAGAATGGCTGTAATCAAAAAATCAAAAAACAGTAGTTGTTGGTGTGGATGCAGTGAACAGGGAACACTTCTACACTGCTGGTGGGAATGTAAACTAGTACAGCCACTATGGAAAACAGTGTGGAGATTCTGTAAAGAACTAAAAGTGGAACTACCATTTCATCCAGCAATCCCACTACTGGGTATCTACCCAGAGGAAAATAAGTCATTATATGAAAAAGATACTTGCACACGCATGTTTATAGCAGCACAATTCACAATTGCAAAATCATGGAACCAACCCAAATGCCCACCAATCAACAAGTGAATAAAGAAACTGTGGTATATTTATACAATGGAATGCTACTCAGCCATAAAAAGGATGAATTAATGGCATTTGCAGTGACCTGGTTGAGACTGGAGGCTATTATTCTAAGTAAACTAACTCAGGAATGTAAAACCAAACATGTTCTCACTGATAATGTGGGAGCTAAGGTATGAGGATGCAAAGGCATAAGTATGGTTCAGTGGACTTTGGGGACTTGGTGGGAAGAGTGGGAGGGGAGCAAGCGATACAAGACTACAAATAGGGTGCAGTGTATACTGCTCAAGTGATGGGCACAGCAAAATCTTACAAATCACCACTAAAGAACTTACTCATGTAACCAAATACCACCTTTACCCCAATAACTTATGGGAAAAAAATCAGTGAATAACTTATTTAGATTTTTTTGGATTAAGGTAGAATACGAAAGGTGAAATAAATAAATAAATATAGCTTTGAATTCGTATTTCTTTCTATTGCTCCAATCTCTGCTTCAGGAATCTATTAGATCTCTATCCTCAGTTCTGCACATCATCTCCTTTCTGATTATTTTTTAAACATTTTGTTTTTCACTCTGCAAGAGGTTGTCTCAAGTTTGTCTTCCACATTGCTATACCTATTTTTTTCAGGACTATTTCTGTTATTTACTATGTTCAATGAACATTTTAATTGTTATTATAATTTTAGTTTCCTTGTAATCTTTTCTTGTCTCCTTTAGCTCACCTTATTGTCTGACTCTCATTTAAATTTTTTTCCATTTTATGTATATTATGTATGTGTTTTCCATATACAGCAGACTATATGTAACTTACATGATAGTTCTGAAGCACATGAGAACCTACCATCCACTGTAAAAGCTACTGTAATAGGGCCAGGTGCATTGGCTCATGCCTATAATCCCAGCACTTTGGGAGGCCGAGGTTGCCGGATCACGAGGTCAGGAGATCAAGACCACCCTGGCTAACACCATGAAACCTCGTCTCTACTAAAAATACAAAAACAAAATTAGCTGGGCGTGGTGGCAAGCACCTGTAGTCCCCGCTATTCAGGAGGCTGAGGCGGGAGAATGGCGTGAACCCAGGAGGTGGAGCTTGCAGTGAGCTGAGATCGCACCACTGCACTCCAGCCTGGGTGACAGAGGGAGACTCCGTCTCAAAAAAAAAAAAAAAAAAGCTACCGTAATACCCATACTGTTGCATTGAGTTATGTGATTCTTTTCTTTGCCATTATTTCCTTACTTTATATTTTACAGCTTTATCCACATATCTACTCATAAGCAATATATTATTCAGTGTGTTAGCTTTATAAAAATGGTACGTAATTTCCTGTGTCTTAATTTTTTCACTTAACTTTATGCTTCTAAGATTCATCCAGGTTATTACATGCACTTACAGTTTGTTCCTTTTTAATTTTGTATAATACTTCTTTGTGTGAACATCCTACAATTTATTTATCTATTCTCCTACTGATGGATATGTGTGTCCAGATTTTGCTATTATAAGCAATGTGGTTTTGAAATTCTTGTTCCTGTTTCCTTATATACAAGTAAGAAAATCTAGAGGAATGTTACTCCAACTGTGACTGGGGACCAGCAGCAACTTCATCAGCTGGGTGCTTCAAAGAAATGCAAATTAACGGACTTCACCCCAGGCCTAATGATTTAGAATCTCCAGGGAGTGAGGATCCAAAATTGTGCGACACTCCAGGTGATTCTGATGCTCATTAAAGTTTAAGAAGCTCGTTCTAGAGTATATACCTAAGAGTGGAATTGCTGTGTCATATACAGGTATATGTATGACACTTTACAGGATAATGCCCAGTTGTTTCCCAAAGGTGATTCCAGCTATTCCAACTATACTCCCTCCACCAGTGTCCGTATGGATCTCCTCTTGATTTACATCCTTGCCCACACTCATCACTTTCAGACTTCTTAATTTTCTCTTTTTGTGTGTTAAGAAGTCCTTCCCTATAACTAGTTCATAAAGATATTCTATATTTTCTTTTTAAACTTTTAAAGTTCTTTTTCTTTCATGGATAAGTCTTTAACCAATCTAGAATTGGTCTGGGGTACTTATGAGATAGGTATATAATTTCATATTTTTCCGTATGGATAGTCCAATTATACCAGCATCATTTATTACATCATCTCTCCTTTCTTTAGTGATCTGAAATGCCCCGTGTCCTGTATTAAACTCCCACATATTCATGAGTCTGTTTCTGGACCTCTATTCTGCCCTGTTTCTTTGTCCTGTACTAATACCACACTGTTTTAATTACCATTGTTTTATATTGTGTTGAAATCTGATAGAGCAAGTCCTCCTTTCTTAGAAATGGCTTTGTTAATCGTTAGTCTTTGCTCAGTTATAGACACTTCGGCATCAGATTATCTAGTATCTAAACAAAATCTGTTGGAACTTTGGAATTGCATAGAATTTATAATTCAAATAAGAAGAATTTACCTTTTTATGATACTGAGTCTTTTTATCTATAAAGATGAAAAAAACTGAAAAAGAACTCCTTCCAAGTAGGGAATCTTTATTTTCTCTTTGTGCTTTGAAGGTGAAAGTTCCCAATTATGTACTTTTTCTCTATTAAGAAATGGTCCTAGATCTTTTATAATGAAAATAAATCTTTAATGGAGGAGAAAATGTGAAAACCTTTTCAGTTTAGAGAATTAAGTCAAAAAACATTTTATTTTTGGGAGTTTGCTATTAACCATTTAGTAGTATGCAAAGCAATAAGGAAAATACAGTGTTAACCCCCAAACTTGTCCTGTTGGCAGATTCACTGATTTTCCCTTTCTTTCTCCTTTTCTTTCTTTTTTTTTGAGACAAGGTCTTGCTTTGCTGCCCATGCTGGAGTGCAGTGGTGTGTAACCACAGCTCATCGCAGCCTCGACCTCCTGGGCTCAAGTGATCCTCCTGCCTCAGGTTCCCCCAGTCTCACAAGTAGCCAGGAATACAGGTGTGCACCACTATACCCAGCTAACTTTTAATTTTTTTTGTAGAGACAGGGTCTTGCTATGTTGCCCACTCTGGTCTTAAACTCCTGATCACTCCTCAAGTGATCCTCCCAGCTTGGCCTCACAAAGCACTGGGATTTACAGGCGTCAGCTTCTGAACCCGGCCTGATTTTCCGTTTCTAGAGAGTGCTTTCAAAGTGCTTCTACGTTTTTCTTCTCCCTACCTACCCTTTTGATATTCTATGAAAACCATTTGTGATAGATCTCTTCATTTCCATTTCCAAAAGTGTACATTACTGGACAGAAGCCTTCATTTTTTACTCCCATCCCCAATTCAAGGATAGTGTAACCAGGTAAAGCATGTGACATAGGTAATAGCTGTATGCTTCTCGTATACTGTAGGCAAATGTTTGCTCTTTTTGCTTTTATAAATATCTGTTTAAAATTAGCGCATGCATATTGCTTAAGCACACATATATTTGTAATGAAGTTGTGTGTTTATGTGTATACGAATAGGTTAATAAACATAAAATTTAGAATAATGGTTACCTTGGGTGGGACAGGAGAAATCAGGGAAATGGGGTAGTAAGGTAACTCATAGGTTGATGGGAGTTATTGGTAATGTTTTAGTTTTGGGGTGGAGTGGTGGATTCACAGGCCCTGAGTGTATTATTTTGCTTTAAAAGTAACATATAGGCACAGATAATGTTTTGTATGTGTCAAATAATATATTTAAAACATAATACATGAAAAGTTTTATATTATTTGTTTATCAGAGCTTCCTTTAGGAAGACGACGTTATTGACCCAGGTATAGGCTGCCATCTCTGAATTGTTTTACCCAAAGAGAGAAGAGTTTATGATGATTTGCTGTTAGTTTACCATGTCTTCCCTCAGGGCAATGGAGGGTTTTGGTTTTTAAGTTGGCTGATAGTGGGTTGAAAGCCAGGTGAATATGGAATTTTCACCTTTTCTTAGCTCCATGTACCATTTTCAGACTCCTTTTTCATCCTTGCATTTCTCTCGGTTCCCTATCTATTCTAGCTATTTTTTTCAAACTCCGTCCTCCCCCTCTCTATCCTTATCATGTCCTTATGTAATCCAGCTCTCAGCAGAATCAAATTAGAGTTCCATGCTCACCTCCTTCCTCCCTTTGTTCCTCCTTCTTCTCTTCTTTCCTTCCCTTCTTCCCTCCCCATCTTTCTTTCATTTTATTATGAATGGGTTCCATTTTTATAATCATAAATAAAATGAAACAAATGAAATGACTCCTGAATATTTCTTAAGGCAATGACATGAAAATGCATAAAAGTTATCTTTGTGCAGAGGATAGGAAAAAAAGAAAGAATACACAGACACATCTAACAATAACAACAACAAAGACATTGCCTAGAAGATGGAAGGTAATGAAAAGTTTGCAGACAGTAAGAGTCATTAAGAAGGAAGGCAAATACAATGTTTTTTAAATGTCTATAATAAAAAAAAATCCAAAGGAAGGCATGCATTACAATTTACAAGGGACAAAGAGAGACACAGACAGACATTCTTTAAATGTATTAGACGTGAGGAGAGGTTGAAGAAAAATAGTGTCCATTTATTAGTTGGAAAGGGAAAACTAATAGCAGATGACACTAAAAAGACAGAGGTTTTAAATCTTTTCTTTTTCTTTAGTATTTGTCAAAAAGTCAATTGCTGTCTGAAAGCTAGACAAAGTAGTATATGGAGTGAGTTGAACCAAAATAAATAGGAAAAGAGAAACTGACAGAAGTTTACAGAATTTGCTGGATTAATTGCTCAACTATGTGTTCCCCGAGGTCTAAGACTCACTACCGATTCCTATAGCCCAGTGCCTAGTAGAGTGCCCGGCTATAGGAGGTGCTAGAATTTAATTATGGAATGCCTACTATGATTAAGTTCTTGGCATCATGAAGTTTCTAACCTAGCAAGAAAGACAGTCCTTAAGCCAATGAGTTAAACAATTACTTAATTTTCGTAGTGCTAATGGTAAGAAGAAGTAGGGCAGGACTCTATGAGAGCAGACATTAGAAGATGTGACCATGTCTGAGGGCCAGGGAAGAAGTCTCTCATGAAGGAACATTTAAGATTTGAGGAAAAGAAGGGAGGGGACATAAAGTGTTTGGGGCAACAGAAAGAGCATACGCAAATACTGTGAGATGGGAAGGAGTTTGGTGTGTTTGAGAATTTGAAAGCAGACCAATTCAGCTGGAGCTCAGCAAGTTAAGGCAATAGTGGGACAAGATGAGGGTGGTAGGGCAGATCATAGAGACCTAAGGATTTCAGAATTCATCTTACAATAAATGAGAAGCCATTGCAGAATTTTAGGAGAGAAAACGGCATTATTCAATTTACTTTTAGCAAGTTGACTTTCACAGCTATGTAGAAAGTAAATTGGAGGAAACCACTTAAGAGGTTAGTTTAGATGGCGCGGTGGCTCATGCCTGTAATCCCAGCACATTGGGAGGCCGAGGCGGGTGCATCAAAAGGTCAAGAGATCAAGACCATTCTGGCCAACAGGGTGAAACACTGTCTCTACTAAAAATACAAAAATTAGCTGGGCATAGTGGTGTGCACCTGTAGTCCCAGACACTTGGGAGGCTGAGGCAGGAGAATCACTTGAACCCAGGAAGCGGGGGTTGCAGTGAGCCAAGATCGCGCCACTGCACTCCAGCCTGGTGACAGAGACTCCGTCTCAAAAACAACAACAACAAAACAAAAACAGAAGAAGAAAAAAAGAGGTTAGTTTAGATGAAAGATGATAGTTTTGATTAAAGTGAGAAAGTTAACTTAGAAGAGAGGTTTGGGAGATATTTAAGAGATAGCATTGATAAGATTTGGTGATTGACTGGATATACAGAATGAGCATAAAACAGGATTCATAGCTTTTTTTTTGCTTTCTTTTTTTGAGACGGAGTCTTGCTCTGTCACTCAGGCTAGAGTGCAGTGTCGTGATCTCAGCTCACTGCAACCTCCGCCTCCTGGGTTCAAGCAAATCTCTTGCCTCAGCCACCCGAGTAGCTGGGATTACAGGCGCCTGCCATCGTGCTTGCCTAATTTTTGTATTTTTAGTAGAGATGGGGTTTCACCATCTTGGCCAGGCTGGTCTCGAACTGCTGACCTCGTGATCCACCCGCCTCAGCCTCCCAAAGTGCTGAGATTATAGGCGTGAGCCACCGCACCTGGCTTCATAGCTTTTTAAATGCTCAAATGCTTAACTCGGGAGGTTGGGATGGCTGCTGGTAGTGCAGCAACAACGGCAGCATTTCTCTTCTCTCCTCATCCTGCCCCTCCTATCCCAACCTCAGCCATAAAAGCTTAGTGCTATCAAGCTCTGCCAGGGACACACACACACACACGCACACACACACACTTTGTTAACTGAAACTCAGATATTAGCTCAAGGGTCATTTTCCCAGGGAGCATACTAAAAGAAAAAAGAATCAAACAAAGTAATAATATTAACTCACGAATGTGCATTATGTCTTCCTTAAATTTAGTTCTGAAGTTTTTTTAATCACATTTACTGATAAATATGAATCTAATGCATATTTTTGAAATGTTTTGTCTTTACTTACTTCACTCACTATTTCTCAGGCTTCCTATTTCCAACACCTATAGCTGGCCAAGAGGACCCTTGTTTCAGAAGGCCAAGCCCCAGCTCTCTTTCAGTCATACCCCTTTCCATGGGGCAAGTCCACAGGACCAAGGACTTATGCCCACCTAGAGCTAGCACCCCTTTCTAGACCATGCTCTGAATACTCAGGCCCCTGAATCCTCTGCTCAGATCTTATCCCTAGCTTTTTGCCAGGATCTGCATGGGCTGCAACCTGGAGTCTGGCTTCCTGAGAGCAAACCAGTAGAGTGTGCACTGCTAGGCCAGAAAGGTGGCAAAGGGAACCTGCTTATGGAGGTGTGATCAGGCTTGGGTTTGTGAACTGGACTGTCTACACTGCAGGCCCATGAGACTTTTGATGATACACTACAGAGCCAGGGGTGAGAAGGGGAAACTGCGTTGTGGCCCTGGACTCTGACCCTAGGCTCTGACCAACTCAGGCACAGCAGTGAATATGTTAGCTAGTCCTTTCATTCTACAAACATTTTCTGAGCACATATTCCTAGTGCGTAAGGTTTCCTGTGCAGCCTGGGGGAATGCAAAGATGAACAAGACATCCTTCTGTCATGGAGGGCCGCAGGGCCAAAGATGCATGTAAACACCCTCTGTGAAATGAGGCTGACTAAAGTATCACATGAGCGGGAACCACTTGTAGTACTTTGGGAATTCAGAAGAGGAAATTATTTTTTATAGCTGGAGGAATTTGCAGACAACTTCACCAAGAAACAAAAGTGGAGAGGTAATTTGCTTAGAATTGAAACACATATTCAAATTCTACAAAGTTATGTATTGACTCTAAACTTCAGTTTCCTCATCAGGATTTAATGAGATAATATATCTGGAAACATCTATTACAGTGCCTGATACATAAAAGTATTTAATGAAGTATTTAATGTGTTGCTGTTTTTTTTTTGTTTGTTTTTGTTTTTTGTTTTTTTTTTGAGACAGATTCTTGCTCTGTCACCCAGGCTGGAGTGCAGTGGCACGATCTTGGCTCACTGCAACCTCTGCCTCCCAGATTCAAGCGATTCTCTTGCCTTAGCCTCCAGAGTAGCTGGGACTACAGACACATGCCACCACGTCTGGCTAATTTTTTGTATTTTTAGTAGAGACAGGGTTTCACCGTGTTAGCCAGGATGGTCTTGATCGCCTGACTTCATGATCCACACGCCTTGGCCTCCCAAAGTGCGGGGATTACAGGTGTGAGGCACCGCGCCCAGCCATGTGTTGCTGTTTCTTTTTATTAATTAAAATATATTTTTTACCTCATGAAAATATTCCACTATGTACACAGGTATGCTTCAAGTTGTCCCGAAAACATAACTATGGTGTGTGTGTGTGTGTGTGTGTGTGTGTGTGTGTGTGTGTGTTTGTGTGTGTGTGTGCGCACGTGTGTGTTGGGAAGGTTCAGGATGGTTGGAAGGAAGTTTCTTGAGATCAGGGCCTGTATCTTTGCATTCCCAGTGCCATAGACATTGGGATTTAATAAATATTCTTTGATTGAATAAATGATCAAATTAAGATTCACCTCCTGAAGCTGTTGAGAATGAAATAACTGCAAGGTTCAAAGGTCATGGTTTTCCTGGGCACTGACAGGTCTTGCTGCAGGTGCATGAGCTTGTTTAATCTCAACAGTTTTTGCTTCTGGGAATTATAAATGCTCCGAAGTGTGATGGCAAAATGACAAATATTTTTCCTTCCTGAAGCCTGTTGTGTGGTTTCCAAAGTTGTAAAAACCTAATTAATTCTAATAGGCACAAATGCTAAACCAGTAGCTACTCTTCATCTAGATATTTGACCTTGGAGAGCCAAGAAGAAATGGAGTGGAACATTACCATTGGTTTTTGCACCAGATGTGGCAGGATGCCAGAGCTAATGTGTGAGGGAAAGAGCTCTGCTGCTCCAACTTCCTCCACAGAGAGGGAGCTGCAAGGCAGATCCAGAAAGTTTTCATGTGACTTAAGCATCTTTGGAAATTTTGAAAGCTACTATTTCCCTTGCTGCCCCTCTAGAGGTAATGAAATACCCTCCAATCCATTTTTTGGCTACTTTACTTAAAATTGTCGAATGGTGGCCGGGTGCAGTGGCTCACGCCTGTAATCCCAGCACTTTGGGAGGCCGAGGCGGGCGGATCACGAGGTCCGGAGATCGAGACCATCCTGGCTAACACGGTGAAACCCTGTCTCTACTAAAAACACACACAAAAAATTAGCCGGGCGTGGTAGCGGGTGCCTGTAGTCCCAGCTACTCGGGAGGCTGAGGTGGGAGAATGGCATGAACCCGGGAGGCGGAGGTTGCAGTGAGCCAAGATCGCACCACTGCACTCCAGCCTGGGTGACAGAGTGAGACTGCGTCTCAAAAAAAAAAAAAATTGTCAAATGGCTTCCCATTTCTTGCTGGGTAAAGTAGGAAGATCAGTGCTTTTTAATATGAATTGTCTCCTTACTGATTCACCTTTCTCTATCTGGCCTTTCATGCTTAAGGATGTTGGTGGTTTTCTCCCACCCTTCAAGGATAGGGCCTTTCTGTTTCTCCACTTACCTCCCACTCCACTCCTCCCAGACCCATTCCACTCCCACCCCCCAACACACACACACACACACACACACACACACAGGCACACTTTGTTAACTCAACTGAGATATTAGCTCAAGGGTCATTTTCCCATGGAAGCCTTCTTGGACCACCCACATCCCTTGCCTGGGTGAAATCACATTTCTGTATCATATGTTCTCACAGAACCATTTCTTTCTCCTGGGACACTTGATTCAATTTGTATTTACATATTTATTGGTGGGATTATCCAGTTCATATGTGTCTTTCCTTCTAGACTATGATTTTCATAATGATGGGATTATGTTTTCTCACAGATGTATCCCTAGAGTCTAACACAGCACTTAGAACATAAGGGTTTTCAATAAACGGTTGTAACTATGAGGGCCTTGAGGTATCTATGTTCCCCTTGTATGGCCTCCTGCCCCTTGCTTCTCTTACCCAGTCTTATCTATGGCTGGACTTTAGGTAATAAACTTTGAAAAAAATTACAGAATTTTTATGTTTTCAGCCTCATCAAACCCAGATGTGAGTAATAGTGGGAGGAGGCATTAGCTCAGTTGGGGTTCCACGGAGCAGCCAGTGGCAGCAGTGAGAAACATTTAACCCAATACAATGGGGGAGATGCTCAAACTAGAGAATTGAGTGGAATGGAGACCCGTGAAGCCCTCAACCTTGAATTACAGTCCAGAGGGTCATCACATAAGGGGCACCAGAAGTCCTGGAGCATGAAGTCAGAATTCCAGGTGTGCTGCAAGTGAAAGCAATCATAAACTTGCACACAAAATTACAAAGGAATGCCTTCATCTGCTCACTGTCAAAAGGTAGATGATGTTGTCTGGGCTCAAAAAATCAAGGGCAGAACTGACAAGTTTGCTGTAAAAAAATGACAACAATATGCTTTTGGTAAGAGCTATTTTTTGGCAGAAATGCATTTGAACTATTCTTGTTTCAACAACTTGGAGAGTCAGATCATGAAAGTCTGGTATGCCAGTGAAACATTTCCTAGTGTTTAGTATCAATAATGAATTGTCAAATGGTACAGCCACTAGGTAAAAGTTTGGTGGTTCCTCAATAAGTTAAATATAGAATCATCACATGATCCAGCAATTCCACTCCTAGGCATATACCCAAAAGACGTGAAAAGAGGAACTCAGACATACTTGTACATGGATGTTCACAGCAGCATTATTCACAATAGTCAAAAGGTGAAAACAGCCCAAGAGTCCATCAACAGATGAATGGATCAACAAAATATGGCACATATGTATATATATATATTTATATACATACATAAATGGAATATTATTCAGATGTAAAAAGGAGTGACTTTCTGAAACATGGTATAAAATAGATGAACCTCGAAAACATGCTAAGTGAAATAAGCCAGACACAAAAGGACAAATGTTGTATGATTCCACTTATATGAATGATCTAGAATAGGTAAATTCACAAAAAGTAGAATAAGGTTACCAAAGGTGGAAGGGGGAGGCAAGAATAGGGAGATATTGCATATGGTTACAGAGTTGTTATTCAAAGTGATAAAAAAATTTTGGAAATAGCTAGTAGAGATGGTTGCATACCATCGTGAATGTACTTCATAACACTGAATAGTAAACTTAAAAATTGTTAAAACAGCAAATTTTATGTTATATATATTTTACCACAATAAAAAAAGAAAAAAGGAATGAATTTCTGGAGATAAACTTTCTTGAGAGTAACTTGGCAATATGTATCAAAAGCCTTAATTGCTGCATACCCATTTCACTTCTTATAATTTATTTTTAGGAGATAATCACAGATTTGTTCAAAGATTTATTTGTAAGATGGTTGTAGTGACCACTGCTGGTTTTCTTCTTTAATATCCTCCTTCTGGTCACAGCATCTGGATTTTCTTTCAGGAAATCATTTGGCTGTGGTTATATACTTTGTTTTTTTTTTTTTTTTTTTTTTTTTTAGACAGAGTCTTGCTCTTTCACCCAGGCTGGAATGCAGTGGTGCGATCTCAGCTCATTGCAACCTCCACCTACCTGGATCAAGCAATTCCTCTGCCTCAGCCTCCCAAGTAGCTGGGATTACAGGCACCCACCACCACACCCGGCTATTTTTTTTTTTGTATTTTTAGCAGAGACAGGGTTTCACCATGTTGGCCAGACTGGTCTCGAGCTCCTGACCTCAGGCAATCCGCCCGCCTCGGCCTCCCAAAGTGCTGGGATTACAGGCGTGAGCCACCGCGCCCAGCCCGTTATATACTGTTTACTTAGGTTCCCTGGTCTCCCTTGAGGCAAGCAATCATATTGAACTCGCTGGACTTTCTCTCCAGGGAATCTGAAAGCTGGGTGGTGTGGTCAAGCCGACTGAGAGTGGCTGGAGGTGATTTATTCCATGGAGTGGAACTTTAAGGAGACTGATCTTAAGACAGGGTAGGATCCAGGTACCATGGGTGCCGACATCTAGATCTCCTGTGTTGCCCTGGATCCTACCCTTTTCAAGCCGGCTGCTTTACCTTTTCTTCTCTGCTTAAGCTACCTACATTCCCTTCCTCCTTAATTTTTTTATTACCAAAGAATCTTGGTTCAATGATCATTATAGCATTATTTTTAATGGAGAAAAATCTTGAAAGCAAAGTTCAATAAATCAATTAATGAGTAAACAAATTGTAGATCCAACTATGGATACTTTGTAGTCACTAGAAATTATATTTTAGAAGAATATAATGATGTCAAAAATGGTCATTACAGTGTGCAGAATAAAAGCAGACTCTAAAATAGAATTATCCTGTTTTAAGGGGAAATAAAACATGTCTCTGTGCAGTTAAACCTGAAGGATATACATATAAATGAAAATAGTTGTTATCTCTGGGTAGCAGGATTACAGAGCATTTTCTTTTTAAGAATATTTTCTAAACTTTCAGGAATGAACATTTAAAATGAAAAAAAGTTTTCATTTTTTAAGATATATACACATATTTCTGTTGATAACTTCCTTATTCTTAAAATGGGAGATCTGATTATTTCTCAGCTTTCAAAGTCATATTGTTTTAAAAATGGATCTGTGTTTCTAACTGCCTTTTCTACAGCACTACAAGCACCTCGTATGTAAAATACCCAAATATATCAATTCCTCCCTCTCCCCACCAGCTCCACTGAAACCTCCTCTAGGAAGCCTCCCTGAACTCCCAAGTCCAGGTTAGGGTTTCTTTTGTACTCCACCCTGTGGATTCCTGCAGTTCTCCCTGCTGATCTCCATCCCTTACAGCACGGTTCACACTATATGTGAATTGCCTGTTTACCTGTCCTCTCTACGAGACCCTTCAGTGGCAGAAGGGTCCGTGTTTGTTCATAACAATGTCAGTGAACATTTCTAGAGTACTTAAGATGTGCTCGGCCCTTCACATATATTATCTCATTGAATTCAGGAAACAATCCTATAAAGAGGTACTGTTGTTTGTCCTATTTTACAAATAAAGATATTGAAACTCAGCGACAGAAAGCAATTTACACAAGTGACACAGTTGCAGCCTCAGCACCCAGCACAGGGTCTAAGTATGTATTCGGTGCTTTATAAATAAATATTTGTTGAATGAATGAATGAATGTACTAAAATTATGTAGCTAAATCTCCCTATTGCAGTTTTCTGAATCTATAAATAAAAAACGTTGCCAGAATTAAAAGTGCCTGATGAAATGGGTAAAATGTCAGTATGTAGCCAGAAGGGGAAAAACATCTTATCTCACTAATTGGTGACTTCACTGTGAAACTCTCTTAAAAATTCAGAGCCACTACTGCCTAGAGATAAAAATCAGTCCCATTTTTTTTCTGTCTCTGAATGCTTCTGTGAGAATTACTAAACCAGGAGGGTACACTTCACTGGCTGAATTACATGCAGGGAAAGGCAAGAGGTAAAAGCGCTTCTCTCTCACCTGAATTGCCCCCATGCTGCCCTGTATCCCTCTTTGCTGCACTTGGAATACCTGAACAGAGCCAGAACACCAGATGTGAAGCTCATTGTCCAGACCTTCACACTGTGAGTAGGGGCCTGAAATACAAAGAACAAACCTGGGACAAATGTGATAATCAATGAAGCACTGCTTTGAAAAGAAAAGGAACAGGCTGCCAAAATCTCAATTTTAAGCTGGAATTCAGCAAGCAGAAAAGTTGAGTGATAAGAAATCTCCTGCTTTTCACTAGGATTGTCAAAGTTCCTAAATTTACCAGGAGCTCCCTGACTCTCTGAGTGGTTCTTAGTTTCAGGGGTTATTTTTATCCAGGAAAATATTGTAGGAATAATCCCTTCTTTCGAATCCCAGGAACCTGAGAGAAAGCATACTATTTCCCAGATCCTAAGACCCAGAGCAGGGCTTTCATCCTCAACACTATCGATAGCTTGGGCCTGGCAATTCTCTGTTGGGTGTGGGGTGGGGGGGGCGAGGCGAGGGGGTGCATTGCAGGATATTCAGCAGCAGCCCTGTCCTGTCCTATGTCAGTAGCACACCCCTCATGCCCCACCCAGCTATAACAACCAAAAATGTCTCCAGACATTGCTAAATGTCCCTTGGGGAGCAAAATCACACTTCCCACACTTCCCATCCCACCCCTTCATTTGGAGAACCGCTGATCTAGAGTGTGGCAAATGGAAAACACTGGTTCATTCCCTTCCCATAGAACATCAGAGAGTACCTCGTAAATACACACGTGGACACATGATGCTTGTTTATTTACCTGGAGTGGAAGAAGGGAGAAAGTGTCCCATTAACCTAACATTTCATGTTTGATGGTGATATGTAAGAATGTCTAATCTTTTGTTAATCCTCACTTAAGAAACTTTTTTTCCATTCACCCAGCCAACTAAGGTTTCCAAGCATGGAATCTTAGTCTTTGGAATGGAGCTGGTTCCCCAGACCATTTTGGATTTCTGGATGTTTGTGTACATCCCTAGTAGATAGAAAAGCATGGCGTTTGGAGTCAAGCACCCTGGATTGAAATTCCAGTGAAAACTTTTATTTACCTGTGCTCACTGCAAGTCACTAAACTGCTCTGAGATCCAAGTTCCTCAACCATAAAAACCTCTCTTATTTGACTGCGGTCAAAACTGAATGAGATGAAGCCAAGAGATGGGCCTGGCACAGGCCTGGTTGTTACAACCAGTTCCTGCTTATAAATGTTTTCTTCCTTCAATGCTTGATTATTACCCAAGAAGTAACAGTAAGGGAAAGCTTCCCTCCCAGTGTCTAGTACCCCAGAATATTCCTTCAGCTCTTCCCAAAACATGGTGAGAAGAGGTAACACTGGGTGAGAAGAAGTAATACTGGGATAATCAGGGAAGGCTTTTGAATGTGACTTACAGTTTTTGCCTGGAGTTGGTCAGAAGCAACTTGGCAGGCAGTAATTAAAGACTGAGTTTGGATGGATAGGGCTTTTTCAGGGAGAGTGTCCACCCATGGGTGAGAGGTCTGCTGGTGCAGAGGTTTTGTTTCATTCTGAAGACCTCTTCTACATCATTCTGCAAGCTATAATGCAAGTGACAGTAATTAGAAGTTAGATGTGGATTCTAGTTCAACTTCAGCACTTTCTAGATGAGACCATCACCTTGGGCAAAAACTTTCCCTCTAAGCCTCAGAATCCTCATGTATAAAACAGGATGGGCCAGGTGTGGTGGCTCACACCAGTAATCCCAGCACTTCAGGAGGCTGAGGCAGGTGGATCACTTGAGGTCAGGAATTCGAGACCAACCTGGCCAATATGGTAAAACCCCATCTCTACTAAAAATGAAAAAAAATTAGCTGGGCGTGGTGTGCGTGTCTGTAATCCCAGCTAACTAGGAGGCTGAGGCAGGAGAATCGCTTGAACCCAGGAGATGGAGGTTGCAGTGAGCTGAGATTGTGCCACTGCACTCCAGCCTGGGCCACAGAGTGAGACTCCATCCCACGAGGAAAAAAAAAAAAAGATGATACTTTAGCCTATCTCATCAGGTTGTTGTGAAAATTAACAAGATAATGCGTGCAAAGAGATCGGCCCAGTTCCTGGTGAGTAGTAGACACTGTGAAATATTAGCTGATGTTATATTAATAATCATCTTCTGTAAACGCCTGCACAATATGAGCACATCTGAATATATTCTTGAAAGGATAAATAATAGGGAAACAAGGTCCAAGACAGATAAGACAGAACTCAAACAGCTGACCAATCAAAAGAACAAGCTGAGGATAAAGTACCAATGGGGGAAAAATGCAGAAAAAATGAAGTGGGCAAAAAAGACAAAGGTCAAAAGTGAATAGTGCAACTTTCTGTGAAAGCTGGGGACCACTTATGTATGTGCCAGAAAGTCTCACATTCGGGCTAGGAGCAAGGCCCTACATTGAATAGAAACAAACAGATAGATATTAGAAGGGCTTTTTGGCTAGATATCATCATCATCATCATCATTCATTAACATTTGCTGAGCACCTGTGATATATTGGACAGATAGAAATAACTAAGATAAAGTCTCACACCTTGAAGAGCTCATAGTTTAGTTGGCCCACAGCCAGGAAAGTCTCTGTAAGTAGAGTTTTTGAGCTAATTCTTAGGTCCCATGTTCCTTCTTTCACTGACACATCCTTTGGATGTTGGTGGGCAAAGGAGTACAAGCCCCTGTGGGCTTCAGCAAGCCCTTTTTCTCCCCAAATGCTCTTGCCCTCTTTTACCACCTAAGCTTTCCTGCACCAAAAGTATTTCTACAAGTCAGGAAAGTTAAAGTGCATGTGCTGTGCTTAAAGAAGAGGTTTTATAATAACCACTGCCTTCTTGGCAGGCTGCAGAAGCTGAGCCAGTGGAGAAATCTCTGGAAGGGCAGTTGGAAGTAACTGGCTGACTCCTTTGCCCAGGGTGGGCATCATGCTAGCATCTTTCTGGCTACAAAGAGTAGAATCAAGTCTGTGAAGTCAGGTGGAGACCTAACTGCAGCTTTAACAGGCCAACAGCTGGGTCAACCAGCCACAGAGACATTTTCTTGACAGTCACTCTGGTGGGCTTAGGGGATTCAGAAAACAAAAGTGAAGGTGGTCTCCACCCAGACCCCTCCAGGAAAGCCTGTGGAACATTGCATTGTCCACAAGCTATTTTGCAGCTGCTTCAATTAAAGAATTAAACTGTATCTGAGTAGCAGCAACATACATGAGAGCCAAATTGGATTCCTCCTTGGAAAATAAGCTACAGACCACATCTTTATTGTGCAGACACTCATTAACAAATATGTAAAAAAATACCCGTCAGAGAAAGATGTTTTCCTGCTTTGGAGACTTTAAAAAAAGCATTTAATTCCATCTGGCACGCATGGCTGAATCTGAAATGGCTACAATGTGTGACTGGTGGGAAAGCATGACAAAAGGAGTTCTGTCTATCAATCCACCCTCTGCAGGGCAGCTATACCCAGAACTCCACTGGGTTAGGGAGAAGGGGCCATTCCTGATTCTCTGAACAGTGGGGACATGTTTTCTATGCTTGAGGAAATTCTAAGTTTAGGGTCTTTTCTGAGGAAAAGAAATGCTGGCTGCAGACAACGAGGCCAGTGCCTCCATTTCTCTCCTCGCTCGTGAGCAGTTCAGATGCTAGACAGGCTACAACATACAGACCATGTACAGAGAGACTTACAAACCATTCCCAAGAAATGGTCCCAAGTAACCTCACATTTCACGTTTTTAAGCGTAGACTATACTGTCTATGCTTTCACAGGGCCCACTAAACCCGTGGGGACAGCAGACCCTGCTCTCCAAAGTCCAAACTCAAGTGGAGCCAAGCCTCACAGTAAAGTGGGCTTCGAGGCGCAAAGTAAGATCTATCCTTTAAGAAGAAACTGTATATCTAATGGCTTTTAGGACATTTTCATTGATATTAGGATTTACGTGATTAAAAAATAATAGTTAACTTTGCAACTTCCAAAGTGTATTGTTGTACCTTAAAGCCAAGGCATAAGTGTAGAAATACGAATAAGAAAGAATCAAGCTGGGATGGTACTGGTACCAAAACAGATGTACAGACCAAATGGAACAGAACAGAGCCCTCAGAAATAACACCACACATCTACAACCATCTGATCTTTGACAAACCTGACAAAAACAAGAAATGGGGAAAGGATTCCCTATTTAATAAATGGTGTGGGGAAAACTGGCTAGCCATAGGTAGAAAGCTGAAACTGAATCCCTTCCTTACACCTTATACAAAAATTAATTCAAGATGGATTAAAGACTTAAGTGTTAGACCTAAAACCATAAAATCCCTAGAAGAAAACCTAGGCAATACCATTGAGGACATTGGCATGGGCAAGGACTTCATGTCTAAAACACCAAAAGCAATGGCAACAAAAGCCAAAATTGACAAATGGGATCTGATTAAACTAAAGAGCTTCTGCACGGCAAAAGAAACTACCATCAGAGTGAACAGGCAACCTACAGAATGGAAGAAAATTTTTGCAATCTACCCATCTGACAAAGGGCTAATATCCAGAATCTACAAAGAACTCAAACAAATTTACAAGAAAAAAACTCCATCAAAAAGTGGGCAAAGGATATGAACAGACACTTCTCAGAAGAAGACATTTATGCAGCCAACAGACACATGAAAAAATGCTCATCATCACTGATCACCAGAGAAATGCAACTCAAAACCACAATGAGATACCATCTCATGCCAGTTAGAATGGCAATCATTAAAAAGTCAGGAAACAACAGGTGCTGGAGAGGATGTGGAGAAATAGGAATGTTTTTACACTGCTGGTGGGAGTGTAAATTAGTTCAGCCATTGTGGAAGACAGTGTGGCGATTCCTCAAGGATCTAGAACTAGAAATACCATTTGACCCAGCCATCCCATTACTGGGTATATACCCAAAGGATTATAAACCATGCTGCTATAAAGACACATGCACACATACGATTATTGCGGCACTCTTCACAATAGCAAGGACTTGGAACCAACCCAAATGTCCATCAATGATAGACTGGATTAAGATATGTGGCACATATACACCATAGAATACTATGCAGCCATAAAAAAGGATGAGTTCATGTCCTTTGCAGGGACATGGATAAAGCTGAAAACCATCATTCTCAGCAAACTATCACAAGGACAGAAAACCAAATACCACATGTTCTCACTCATAGGTGGGAATTGAACAATGAGATAACTTGGACACAGGGCGGGGAACATCACACACCGAGGCCTGTCAGGGGGTGTGGGGCTGGGGGAGGGAAAAGCATTAGGAGAAATACCTAATGCAAATGACGAGTTGATGGGTGCAGCAAACCAACATGGCACATGTACACCTATTTATCAAACCTGCATGTTGTGCACATGTACCCTAGAACTTAAAGGATAATTATAAAAAAAAAAAGAATCAACTACATGGGATTGTTAGGAAGTTTAAATGGTTTCATATAGGGTTTAGAACAGTGGCTGATATGTATTAGGGTTTGTAAACAAAATAAACTCTTCAATATGCAAAAAAAAAACAATAAAACAAAATAATTTAAAAAAAAGAAAGAATCAGGCTGTGGAGAGATAGAGAATCTTTGTTCCCCACCATCCACTATAAGAGAAACTAATAGGTACTTTGCTGTTTATGAAGAGCAAAGAAGAGCAAAGTGTGAGGCAGTTCCCGGGGGGCGGGGGAAATAGGTCTTGTGGAATAAGGCCATCTCTGTCAGCAAATCTTTTTTTTGTTTGTTTTTTGTTTTTTTGAGATGGAATCTTGCTCTGTCACCAGGCTGGAGTGCAATGGCATGATCTCAGCTCACGGCAACCTCCGCTTCCCGGATTCAAGAGATTCTCCTGCCTCAGCCTCCTGAGTAGCTGGGATTACAGGCGCCCACCACAATGCCCGGCTAATTTTTTTGGATTTTTTAGTAGAGATGGGCTTTTACCATATTGGCCAGGCTGGTTTCAAACTCCTCACCTCAGGTGATCTGCCCGCCTCGGCCTCCCAAACTGTTGGGATTACAGGCGTGAGCCACCGTGTCCCGCCTTCGTCAGCGAATCTTTGAAAGGAGGAGATGGACACAGTGTAGAGAAAAGGCAGAAGTCCTGCATCTTATCCTGAGTCTTGCAGATAGTTTTGTTGACATCTAGTAAGGAAGAGGACTGGTAACTAACTGGCAAGCCCACACTGCCAAACTGGATCATTCCCAAGAGAAAATATACTAGAAACAAAATGAACCAAAGTGGCCATCCATACAGCAGGATTTTTCTGGGCTGCGGCTTAATTCTTCCTATATGGATGCTGTCCTATGACCAGGGACAACAAGCAGTTCTCTCAGTTGGGCACAGCACCCAACCATTGGAAAGGTTTTGTTTTGTTTTGTTTGTTTGTTTGTTTGTTTCCAGCTATCACCTTGTCCTTACTATTCAGAAGGTAATTGTGGGTGAGTGACAGGAACACTTTGGGGCTGGTACTTTGCCAATTTATATTCTTATGCTTAATAGATGTACATGGGAAGGCACAGTACCAACTCAGTAACTGCCTTTGATATTTTCATACACAACTACTCAAATATTGGAAACAAATCATTACAAATCTAAAGAGCTTTAGCTATGGGGTTCTACAGACTTTGTATAAGAAAACATTAGTTGATGAGAAAGTTTGAAAGAACAGCCACCTTGGCACAGAAACCCAGTATGAAATAGAATATAGACTCTTGGAAATGTGAAAGTTTTTCAAAATTCAAAGGAAAGTCCAATTTCAGAAAACTGCAGGCTGGAAGATAGCTTATTGAATCCCAAATAAAGACATTACTATAAATTTCATTATGTAATTTGATAATTCTGACATTTACAAATGCATAATGACATCAATCTTGAATTGCACAAAATCAAACTCTCATACAAAATAAGCTGGATGGAAAAATTTTCCTTATTTTGCTCTGATCACCATTCCGCAGTTTTAAGGGCCAGTAGTTGTTTTAAACATATAAGTGGGATACTAAAAATGTATTTTTAAATTTCCTTTATGATTAGGAATTAAAGTCTATATAGTATAGGTTCACTACCTGATCTCTCACTTCTGCCTCAGTAAAGTTTCCTTGTCAACTCTAATGTAAATATTGGCAGAGTCTCCTCCTATCTTCTCTACCTCCTTAGCCAAAGATATAAACAAAAATTTCAGATGTTCTTAACAGAAATTGGACCAGAAAGTACAATAGCTTAGGGGCCTTTCATAATATCATAAAAGATTTCTTTTGGCAGAGTGAAGGATTTCTGCTCCACCTGCTTTCTCCCAGCTACCCAATCCTTGAACCCTTTCTCAGTCCCAGGGTCAACCTCAAGACACGCAACCAGTACAGTTGCACAAGGCCCCATGCTCCAAAGAGCCCTGTGCTTGGCTTAATGCTCTGCTGTTGACATCTTGAAATTCTCAATAATTTTATCTTTGAACCGCTGCTTTGTAAATGAAGTCCAATGGGATAATGGGACACGCGCATGAGTTGAGGAGCTGTGCACAATATGCGTGTCCAAAGATCCTTGCTGTCATATTAACATATAGTGTTGCAATGCCCCGTGAGCACACAGTTCTGGTGGAGCCGTAATGCCAGTGGGGGACTTCAATGATGCTCAAGTGCGTGCAAGATAAGTATGTGTAAGTAGGGAGTGGTGGGGCTGACTGTCCGAGAGGCCACACTTTCTTTCACCCCAGAACTTTTTTTGAATGCAGGAAGAAGGCAATGGTATTTATTCTAAGTAACACAAACAACCAAAGAGCCTGATCATATCCTTTCTTCCTCATGTTACTTCTCTGTATTAGCCAACCACTTTTGCTGAAAATGATAATATAGAAGGACAGGGAAAGATAAGGCAACTAGTTGTTCTTTTTTCTTTCAGTTCTTCCTTACTTATTAATCTGAAGGTAGAAAGTATTGGTAGAAAGCACACATATTAAGTGAGATAAGAAGGGTTGAGTTAGTTTTGTGTAATGTTTCTATGGTTTTGGTAAGAACAAAATACATATGTGTGTATTATACAAGCTGTGAAATACAAGTTTACATAATTTTGGTAATTTTGCATATAACAAATGCTCTTATGTTATTAGCATTGAAATCTTACATGCACAATATAAAGATGAATGGTAACACTCATGCTAATTATTTAAAATTTTAACTTTTCTTTACGTAGAACAATGTTAAATAGCACATTAAAAATACCATGACAGATCAGGAGAGAGACTGGAAGAAAAGACAAAGCTTTACATTTTGGGACCTTTAATGGCACATTTATTTATTTACAGATAGAATTTCACTCTTGTCGCCCAGGCTGGAGTGCAATGGCACGATCTTGGCTCACTGCAACCTCCACCTCCTGAGTTCAAGTGATTCTCCTGCCTCAGCCTCCTGTGTAGCTGGGATTACAGGTGCCCACCACCATCCCCAGCTAATTTTTGTATTTTTAGTAGAGACGGGGTTTCACTATGTTGCCCAGTCTGGTCTGGAACTCCTGACCTCAGGAAATCTGCCCGCCTTGGCCTCCCAAAGTGCTGGGATTACAGGCATGAGCCACTGCGCTGGGCCTAACGGCACTTTTAAAATGTAGAGGTCCCGCATTTCATGGCCCATTTAGTCCCCACCCAAACAACTCTTCGCCATCACAACATCTCCTTCGTCTTGTCATACAATTCATAGGCATATGCCATAAAATGGAATAGGAGTCTGAAAAACAGAAGAGACACTTACGGACTACCTGCTGGGAAGACGGGCCTAAGGGAGCCCCACAGTGGCTTTTTGACAATGAAAGGAAAAGCTACAGAAGAGAAAACCATGGCAGCTGCTGGTTAAGGGAAATGGGAGGATCTTCCTTTGGTGAAAATTGAGTTTGATGGGTGAGACCCACAAATTCTAGAGAAAGCAAAGCAGGCCTCTGGGCTGTTGTGGTGACCGCTATTTACCTGGGTGGCCTTTGGATCTCGCAAGTGCAGGAAGTGAAATATGGGAGTGGGATGGGTTGGGGGGCATGTAACTCAGAGGGCTGAGACTGGCAGAAAGACTCTTCAATATTTTACCTCCATAAAAGAACTCAGAAATTTGGCAGCAAAGTAAAGTATTATTTGGCAGCTTTTAACACCAACCATGAATAATATTTGAACTTCAATTTTTTGATGTAACACTCCAGTAACAGCACCGATCCTGTATATTAGATGCTCCTATGCATGCAAGGCAAAATCGCAGGAACAACAATCTGAGAATGCATTGTCTAAGATGTATTTCCCAACGTTACATATACCCTCGTTACTCTGTAGAACAGGGATATGACAACTGCCATCATCCCATACACAAAAATTCCACAGCCTCAGAAGCCACAGTTTCTGCTATTTCTAGCCTGCTAGTATGTAGATGCTGAAAATGGTAATATATGCTACTGAAGGACCTGGGTGTGGGCGGAAGGTATAGAAGACTGGGTGTAGCAAGGAAGTCTCAGCCCTCTGGGTATAATGGTTAGAAGGAAGGTCTAGATAGAATCTTTGTCTTTTACTGTGAGTTGGTATTTGCAAAGGTATAAGGAAAATTAAAACTTTCATGTGGCTGTGAAATAGAATGTGTGTAAGTCATTTACACAAATGTCATTCCTCTTGTAGCATAACAATCATATTATTAGATGTATCAGAGCAACTCCGATGTAAGTTTCATTTTGGTTACAACACCAACTCCTATATTAAATTAAACTCCTGTAGTATAAAGTTTAGCACTAGTTATGGGGAAGCAGCCTTATTCAAAAATCACATTTCTTTGGTTCAAATTTCAGTGCTTGTGCTCAGGCAGCATGGCATCTGCTCAGGACTTTAGAAATAAATACAGAGAACATTGTTTCTAAAAGACCTGGAGGCTGAAATACAGAACATGGTCATCATTAAGTTTACAGATGACACTAATGGGACGAAGGACGGGTTAGGAATTCCAAATAAGAGTACATGCAGGGTAGAGGCCTGGGGAGAACATCTTAACCATAAAAGCAAATGATGGAGAAGGACTGGTTTTGTGTGGTCATGACTAGACTAGGACCAGGGCTCACTGGGGTTGAGGGGATGAAGCTGGTATAAATTTCTGGGGCATAGCACTCAGGGTCCAACTGTGTTACTATGAATTCAAATCCCTTGCAAAGATATTTAACTAGTCCACACTTGCAAGCTCTGGGAGGGGCAAAAACTTTTTTTTAAAGGGACCTCAAACCCACTCGGGTTTGTGCAGTATTGATGTGATTTAGGATAATACTATCCCGGGTGTGCATAAAAAGGAGCAGAATGTAAACAGTTATCCCTTGGTTCCCCTCTTAACCTTACCCCTTCCTAGCTGATTCATCCACATGTCCTTTAATTTCTACCTCCTGATATCTTTCATCTGTCCCCTTCTGCCTTGTTTATTGCCATTACCTTAGTTGAGCCAATAGCTTCCTCTCTAGGCTCTCTGCCTACACTTTTGACTCTTTATGATCTACTCTCCACAGAGCAGCTAAAGTCATTCCCCTATAACTTAAATCCAATTATATCAGTTCCTTGTAAAGTTTCTTTATTGGCTGCCCACTGCTTTTGGACTAAAAATCAAGCTCCTTATGGTGATCCGCACACTCTGCATGATCTGCCCCTGCTCAGCTCTCCAACCTCGTTTCCTACCACGTGACTACTTTGCTACCTCTAGCTTTCCTCTCTGTTCTTTGAACCCTCTGGACCCTCTCCCTTCTAAGGCCCCTGCGCAAGACGGTGCTTCCTCTAGCTCCTCAAGAGCCCACGGCACTCTCATCCCTCAGGTCTCTGCTTAAGTGCTCCTCCTCAGAGACCTATCTTTACCTATTTAAAGTGGCCACTTCCCCAGAATTCTCCAATCCCTTATTATATTTTCCACAATCTGTTGGAATGATCTTATTTATCCAGTTACTTATTTTTATTTGCCTCTGCCCTAGATCGACTCTGAGCTCCTTGAGAGTAAGAGGCTATGTCTGTTTCCTTTGTAGCTATATTCCCGGAGCCTAGCACAGTGTTGGCACAAGGCTGGCACTCAATAAATATTTGAGGAGTAACTAAACCTGTCTCTCATCATGGGCCACTGCTGTGCCCAGCATGTTTAAAAACTGGACCTCTGAATCCCATGGTCATTCCTAGGGGGGATATCTACAGCCACGGAGCTAATGAATGTACCTGAATAGTAAACTGAACTATGTATTTTAAGCCCCCAAGTTGCTGATCTGAGGCCCTTCAGCAGTGGGACAGGTGGGTATCATTCGCGGTCAGGTGTTCTCTGAACCTTCTATTGTAGCAGTGGCAGCTTTGAAAAAACTTTTTTTTCTTCTGTTACTTCCTACCTGTATTTTCTATGCCTTGAAGAATGTCTCTAAATTTGGTATCACCCGCATTCTCATTAAGGTGGCTTTAACATCTGTCTTCTAGATCCCGAATGATGATGAGAGAGACAACAATTAAAGGGATCCTCATCCCTGACAGCCTCCCAGCAGGCACTCCCTGCTCAGCCAGAGCCACTCATCACTCTCCTGTGTTTGCCTTCTCCCAGCCAGCTTTTAGTTCATTTGACTGGCTTAGATTCAAATACACTTAAGTTTTGAAAGCTGAGCTTTATAATTCTAGATACTTACATTCTCTGAGTCATGTCATTTTCTCAAAAAAGCATATGATGTGAGTTTTAGAGGGCATTTCCGGAGGCAGAGCTGGAATTACAAAAAAAAAGCAGGAGAGCAAAGAGGATGGATGATGCTTTGATCAACACTCATTTCCCAGGCCACATGGTGATTCCATCAGTGAAGCACGGTGTGTGCAGATCAAACCAGGAGAGCCGGAGGAGAACAGACACCCAATTAGTTATAATAACCTTTGACTGGTAAATGAAAGGAAGGAACTACGGAAACCTGGACACCCAGAATGAATTTCGGGACCAAATCCCTCTGAGTTTCCTGTCCTATTATGTGTCAGCCGGAAGGGCAGCCTTTCCGAGGGAAGTGCTGTGCATTCATTAGAACATGGGGAGCCAAGTGATTGGGAAGCAGCAGCCCCAAATGGGCTTTACGGTTACTGTGAATGAAAAAGAAAGGCCATGTATTTTTAAGAGAAAAAGCCATATAAATCTGACAGCTCCACCCCACTCATAGCAAACCTCAGTCATCTCCAGCCAAACCACTCTATTTTCCTGACAGAGACTTGCACAGTGGGAAGACACTGTGAAAAATCAGTGGTAACAACCGCAAACCACTTATGGTACGCCCTGGGCTTAATCATGATGTTTTTGGGTTCATTCGGGGCAGGGTCACCCTCCATTTTCAAATGCGCGCACGCGCGCACACACACAGACACACACAAACTCTTACTCAACCAACACACACTCAGTGATAGCCTCACACACAGAAGATGAATTATGCAAGTAAATTTTCTATTTTCTCTCTTAAATTGAATTAAGCCTCTTTCGAAACTTCTAAGTTATCAGTCTTAATAATTCTATTATCCAGTTAATGTTTTTATTTTTGTTGTGTTGAGATAGACTAACAGGGATGAAAAACAGATTTTAAATTTCTAGTTAAATCTGCAAATATTGATTGATAGTGATCTCTATCGACACTTAAAATGCACATACCCTTTAACCCAGTCATTCTATTTCTAGGTATTTTTATTAAAGACATGTAAAAATATACAAAGACATACCTAGCCATCCATCTTCTCCATTTTTGTACTCAAGCAGCTGAATGTAGCTGGAGAAAAGCACAGTCAGGCAAATAGGTTTCACTTTAACATGATCTCAAACCTCACATGCCCTCAACTCTGCAGTAATCCTAGATGTTTCTCTAGTTTCTTTATCAAGCTTGCCTTTCTAATCTCTGATATGACTATTTTGCACTTTTCCTTTCTCTTCAAAATCTCTTCTCCAATCACTTCCCTTCCTCTTAGCCTTGTCTCGCACTTCAAGCAGTAAGTACAGAAAGCTATGGTTTGGAAGCTCTCCTTTCTTATTACCACCAAATCTATGCATGATTGCCACTGTACCCTTCTCTTTTCTCCTGCACAAATTGGATGTGCTAAATGCTGTTCTTCCTAAGCAAGGTTAGGTTCTGTGTCTGTCATCTCTCACCTTGTTTCTCTCCTTCATCCTCACTCCTCTAACTTTCACCTGGATTTAGATATGCTTACACATTTATATCTTCAGCCATGGTATTGAAAAAGGTTTATGCCACACCTAAATAGCTGTAGAGCACTCTGTGATAGAGCACCTAGATGACTGGAGTCATCCCTGCTGACTCTGGGACAGATTGCTTGGATCCTTACCAACTGCCAGGACCTCATCTGATTGGAAAAACCTGCAGAGCAAATTGGTGCCCACTGGCTCCTTTTGGTTTCCTTCTGGCTGCTTCATTTGTATTTCTAGACAGATGTATGGAGGAGTGTATATACATGGGGATGAGGTGGGGTGGGGTTTGCGCTCTCTCCTGCTCAAAGGTACTAAGCCAGCCAGATTTACTTCAGTTCACCTTCTGTGTTCCATCCCTCACTTGGAGGACTTTAAATCTTCTAGTGGTTCTCAAACTTTAGCATGCATAAAGGATCACCCAGAGGGCTTGTTAAAACCAGATTTCTGAGCCCCATCCCCAGAGATTCTGATTCCGTAAGACTGACGTGGACTCCAAAATTTGCATTTCTAACAGGTTCCCAGTGATGCTGATGGTCTGGGACTCTACTTTGAGAACTGTTACTTCAATGGGTTAACTTTGACTCTCCTTTATCCATGTACAAGGGATCTTGAGGCAAGTGTCATGAGGTCATACAGGAGAGCATCCATCCCTTTTGTTAGCTCTCAGTCCAAAGGCTTTTGATTTCACTGCCTGACAAGCTCCTGGCAGTCTCTGCATTAGAGAGGTGGCAAGTAGCTGTGTGGAATGTGTCTGCTCTGCTCGGACTGGCTCCAGGATTGCAGCCCCCACCCTGTAGTGTATACACAGCATCCACAGGTAACCTGTAGCAGGGCTTTGGAGAGTCAGATGTAGGAAAGGATGCAGCCCCGCATTTTCATCCCTTCCCCAACATGATGCCTCCCACCCCCGAGGTGGCCCTACTGGAGAAGACTCCAGGAGGAGCGAGTAGAGGGACCCTCCACTGAGGCCTGTTACTGAAGGAAGAGGTCTGGACCCTGTGAAGAAGGCCCTGAAAGTCAGTCAGTCATTTCTGCCCTTGATTTTCTCTACTCCCCTCCCTGCCTGCCTGGCCATTTTCTTCTTCCCTTTCTTCCCTCAATATTAACTGAATATATCTCCGTGCCAGGCACTATACTATGGAAGTTAGGGACAACAAATGTGGAAAACCCAGTCCTCACCCTCCAACATTTTATGCCCCAGTGGCAAAGACAGATATTAAGTGACCACCATAGAAGATCAAAAGCAATAGGTGCTAAAATGCAAATACATGGAAATACAGGGAGCACAGAGGTAGGAACAATGGATTCTGACAAAAGAAATTAGGAAAGACTTCAATAAGAGGGTGGCATTTTAACTTGTTCCAGGAGGAGAATGGGAAGAACGAGGAGTTTGTGCTTTGGAGAACAGAAACGGCTAAGCTCTCCCCTTAGTATGGTACCCCTTTCCGATGGGAAAACAGCATATTTCAAAGCCTTTACTTAGTGCTATCAAGAGCACCAGCTCTTCCTGGCTGCAGCCCCACATCCAAGGGTGTCTTCCAGCCATCCACACTGGTAGTCACTGCTGGGATCTACTGTACTCTGGGCCTGGTATTCAAGCAACTGTAGTGCACGTGCGGGCTAATAATGGGGAGAACTCATGACGAATGATCATGGCTTATAATTCCAAAGAGGGTCTTTCTAGGGAAAGATGTCCAGTTTCTCAAATTAGGGCAACAAGCTCAATCTTACATTTCTCATCTTTCCCACATGTCAGCCTTATCAGGCATGTGGGCTTTTTCTTTTTTTTGACCTCTATCCTGTGACATAAGAAAGACAGTAGCTATTTTTCTGGATATCTAAGGTGAAAGTTTAACACAGGAAGCCCCCTGGTGACTCTGTATTTCCCCTCTACTGTTTGCTTACCAACTGTGTGACCCTTAGCAAGTTACTTTATCTCTCTGTGTGTCAATTTTCCTCATCCACAAATGGGGATCATAATACCTAAACTCATAGGGTTGTTGTGAGAATTAAATGAATTAATACTTATAAGTACTCCATAACTGTTAGTTGTTTTTTCATATTGACATTTAAACCAAGCAAATATATTTTAAGGTAAATTAGCCCCAGAAGGTCCTTATTTCTATTTTTTTCATGTGTTTAATTCAGAACTCTTTATCTGGATTTCAAGAGGGCCCTTCCTAAGCCAGGCCATGTGCAATGTTTGCCTGTTTAACATGACAGACCCCTAATCTATCGCTAGGGCTGAGAAGCTCTTTGAGAGCTTGGAGAAGAAAACTCTCCTGTTCCTATGTTGGGAGTCTCTAGTATTTCTTCAACACCTCTCCCAAATTGTTTGTTATGTACGAAGCTTCAGAAATAGAGAAGGTACATCAGATCCTACAACACAAAGGGCCAGCACAGAAATCTTGAAATGCCTATTGCTATAAAGGGAGTTGGGAATGGGAAACTCATGGACCCTTGAATCCAGCCTGGGTTGAATTCTGCCTCTGCTTCGTGATCTTGGGCCCATACCTTAAGCACCCTTTGCCTCACTTATCTGAAAAAACAAAGATGATAAAGATGCCTACCTCAGGGGGTTACTGAGAGGACTAAATAATACATTTTGGGTAAAGCATTATTATTATAGTGCTTGATACATAATACACACTCAATAATATTAGCTCTTGTAGCATAATGTAAAGAAGACCAGATTGGAAGTTGAAGTTACAGAGTTTTCGTCCAAGTGTGTCACTATTAATCTCCAATAATAATTGTTGGAGCTGCACTTTCTTTTCTGTAAAATAAAGGAGTAGGAGAAGATGGTTTCAAAAGATTCTTCCAGGTATAATCAGCTTTTTTTAGCCTCTATCATCTTTCCTTTCAGAGGGCAGAACAATAGCTTCTCTCTCTCTCTGGGATTCAGGGAATAGACTGCAGACCCTGGAAGAGCTTCCTTTTATTTGTCTATTTGGCCTTTATTGCTTCTGGCCTTACTGATTTTCAGGGATGAGGGCTGACCTGATTCTTTCTCTTTCATGGGCCTGAGCCTATTTCCATTTTAACAGATGCTCTGGGCTTACTTTGATCCCTTTCTATTTTGATATTCACTGAAGAACTAGAACTAGATATGTGTCTTCTTGGAGCCTCAATCTTCTCAGTTGTAGAGACTGGATGATCTCTAAGATCCCTTCTAATGCCAATGTTCTATGAGTCTGTGAATCCAAACTGGTACCCCTTTCCAGCTGAAGTTTGGCCTTGACTGCTACAAAGCTGGATGCATTCAAGGGCAGTGTGGGCAACAAAGATTTCAGCCAATGGCGAGGACTACAAATGAAGCAGCTGTAATGTCAGGAAGCATCACCATAATTTGAGGCTCAAACAGCGTAAAGTAGAATTTTATAGAAGGTAGGCTTTTGGAGGTGTTTATGGAAGTCACAATGGGACAGTTTGAAGATAGAATAATGCCTTAATACAAAATTTCCTGGCTTTCTTTTGAGTCATTGGAACACAGTGTTTATGTTTCGTAACGTTAATCACATGCAATTCTTCTAAATCTGGGATCTAATGGATGCAAAAATTGGTCCAAATGTCAATTTTAAACATATGTTTTTTATATTGAATAGACCTGTATAGTTCCAAACACCAGTTAACTCTTTGATGAAATTAGGGTCTGATTTTTTTCAGAGGTGGTTCTGATTGCTATTCAAGAAAGAAGAAAACCTTAGATCACTCCAGCAATGGGGTCAGCTGAGGAAGACTATTTCCTGAAACAAAGCATGAAGCCTGGGATAGCTCAGTAAATACTGCTCACCCTAAGTAATGGATGGAGTTGGGAAGCTGTCCGGCAGACTTTGGTAGACTCTGGAAATTTGAAAATCGGACAGAACAATGAAAGCCAACGTGAGAACCCTTTCATGGGGACTTTAAATGCAGATGGAGAACATGCTGATTTTGTTGGTCATTAATAGTCATCTGAATTTCAAAATGACCATTTTCATTTTTTTCTACTGATGTGAAACAGTTTCACTCAGTCCTCAGAGAGCAATTAACCAGACTTTTTGTTGGTATCCAACAACTGTGCTTGTTGTTTTGTCTTAAGAAAAGGAGGCTGGGAGATGACTTAGCCTTTCAGGACAATAAGAAATTTACAGTTTAAAAAGTGACAGAAATAGGGTTAGACATAAGTTTTTAAATGCCAGGACATCACAATGAGAACTGGCAAAAACCATGATATGGAGGAATGGGTGGCATCTGCTCTGAAGATCTGACAACTACTATCTGTTTTATCCTACAAGGAAATGGAGGACAATTTGATTCTTAAAGTTCCTTCCCACTTGGTGCTTCAAATAACACTGCCATGACTCATAACCATTTGGATATTTAAATTGGAATTGTCTTTTGAGCCAATAAAAGTTATGGAAGAAATCTGCCTCATAGTCATAACCTGAGATTTTTTTCACCCCAACTGAAATTTCCCAGTTTAATTATTCACTTTATTCATTAGAATTTTTAATTTTTTTTTTTGAGGCAGAGTTTCACTCTTGTCGCCCAGGCTGGAGTGCAGTGATGTGATCTCTGCTCACTGCAACCTCCGCCTCTTGGGATCAAGCGATTCTCCAGCCTCAGCCTCCCAAGTAGCTGAGATTATAGGCGTGTGCCACCACACCCGACTAATTTTTGTATTTTTAGTAGAGACAGGGTTTCACCATGTTGGCCAGGCTGGTCTTGAACTCCTGACCTCAGGTGATCTGCCCACCTCAGCCTCCCAAAGTGCTGGGATTACAGGCATGAACCACCGTACCCAGCCTATTCATTAGTTTTGGCATCAAATAACTTTTGTCTATTTTGAAAAATCCAGCTTAGCACTAACAGGTAAGATTAGTGATGGATAAGGTACCAAAGAATGTGCTATAAACTTGGAGAGCAATTCCTAAAGAGATATTTCCAGATATTTTCAGCAAAGGCAACATCAATAAAAGAACTAGAGCCTTCTGAAGTGACTTTTTTTGAAGAAAGCTTCCTTCATTTGGGTATATAAGCTCTAAGATGTTTGATAAAAAGTTAGCATGTTACCTCCTAAGCTTACTTCATGTGTAAGGAGAACCTTCCCTTCCACCCGCCTCTCAGATTTTAGGAGAGCAAGTGAAATGATTCAACTTTGTGGGTTACCTACAGAAAACAACTTCATACTATATTTTTACTACTGTCTTTGAAACCTGCTTTCCTATCCGTGAATGTCCGTCTTCTCAAAGCAGATTTCTTAGCTTTTAGATAATAATGAACAATTTTATTTTCAGATTTTAAAAAGTCCAGGCAATTTTATATAAAAACTAGTTTTTCATCCAATTTGATTTACATCTTGGACAATTTAGGCTTGACATAAATCAGAAAACTGCAGTGAGGGGAGAGGCTACATATTTTTGTTTGTTTTTTTTTTAATTCTCTTCCTACCAATTCCTGAAGGAGCAGAGGGAAAGAAGAAAGGTATAATTGGGACAACCATACTTATTGACTGTGGTGGTGTAATATGGCTTTGGTTCACCCTCTGAGGGTGATGCCAAATCATGGACTCCTCTCTTGCCAGACATTTTTGTGGGTTCTTCCAATGCTTTCCTGCTGGAAACCCCCATGTCATACTGTTTTCTTAGGCAGGCAGTATACTCTGGTGGACCACTTGAAACTCCTCTAAGCGTATACTATTGATATATATATCTCAGTCTCTTTCTGTTGGGACATGATTCTTTAAAGATAACTGAAAGCTTGGTTACCTGTTGTGGTAACTACTCTAGCCCAGGAGAGAGAGGCATCTTTGTTCTGCCCTTAGTAGAGATATAATTTCATAATACAACCACCCTCTCACCTCTTTCAACTGTTAGGGACAGTTCCAGCCTGCCTCTTCATTAGACCTTTCCAGATGAGAACCAGGCACTGGGCTCCGTGCCTGCCAAACTTCAGCACATATCAAGGCTTCCCAAGAACTCTTTTGATACTCTAGAGTGTTTCTGGAGCCAAGGAACCCTATCACTGGGCTTGGAGTGGAGAAGAAGAGCCTTCCTCCTGTTCCTACTGCCAAGTTGACACAGCTCTCTTCAAACACAGACAGAATCTTCTCCCTCATTAACCTCACAGCCCCCTCTTATATGCAGACAAAAGATGGGCAATAGGTCCCATCTCATTTGGGTCCAGAGCTGGTCTGGGGCTACCCCTTAGGAAGTCCTGCATGGACAGGTTAGCTCTAACTTCTTTTTAAGATGTATGGGCACTTTATACCCATCAACCTCAGCTTTGGGGCTTCAGGTGGAATGGACAACAGAAAAGTCCCACTTGTTACAAAAGTAAAGGCTCAATGAGAATCAGAATCAGAGTCATGGTGGAGCTGAAAGGATATTCTCAGTTTATTATTCGAAAGATCATTTCAGACACAACTATTTCTTTATTGCTTTATTTTAGGTTAGTGGGGAACCCAAACAAAACTGCTAATGAAGCAGGGCAGGTGGAAACCATTGAGGTGATGCTGGAAAGAGAGAGCACTTCAATGTGAACAAAGAATCCTGATGGTCCTTCCTTCTGAACTGTGAAGGCAAAGTGAAGTGCAGACGAATCTCATTACAAGAGATAGGGAAAAAAGGGGAAGGCCAGAGTTGGTGGGGAAACATCAGGAAGTGTAGTCATGTTTGCCATCTAAGGCCAAGGGAAACAGAGTCAGGTAAGGCAGGAGAAGATTCATAGCTCTGAATCAACAGATTCGTGCTGGAGAATTAGCTCATTGCCAGGGAAGAGAACGTCTAAAGCTTTAAGTACATATTCACTGTCTCACCCATGCACACACATGCCACAAATGCTTCCTGGTGCTGACTCTGTACCAGGGACTGTGGTAGGCACTGGGATTGCAGCCATGAATGTAAGAGAGTTTACTCAGAGGAAAACAAATAAACCACATTCAAGGGACTAAAATAAGTTCTGTTTGGCTGGAGAACAGAGCGCAAGAAGAAGGATGGCACAAGATGGGGTTGGAGATGTGGGTAAAGGTCAAATCATGCAAGTCTCTGTGGCCCATTTTAAGGAATCTGAATTTTATTCCAGAGGCAGTGAATTAAAGGGTTTTAAGAAGGTGTTAACATACACTGTGTTTTATAAAATATTTTTGGCCTCAGTGTAGAAAATGGATTGAAAGAGAGGCCAAAATAAGTTAAGGAGACTTGGGGAGTAAGATGAAGGAGTAAGTTAAGTTTCTAACTCAGGCAATTGTGTGACAGTGATGCCATTTGTTTAGATAAGGACGTTAGAGAAGATTCAAACTTATGGCAAGGGAATGGAGAGGTAGGGGAATGGAGATGTTGAGCTTACATTTAGATAAACATGCCTGTGAAACATCCAGTTGTTTATGTCCAGCAGAAAGCTGAAGGCCAGAAGAGAGAAATGGTCAAGACATATGTATTTGTGAGTGTGGGCGGAGGATTACCTAGGTGCTGAGGCAAGAGACTGAAGGCACAAACTGTTTCAGTATAATAAAGAAAATAGTTAGAATAAGAATAGTCATAATACAAATTAGATATAGAGATGACCATGAACAATTATCAATCATTATTATAAACATTATTAATCATTAGCTTTTAATATTACTCTTTGTTGCATTACTAATATAACCTAGGAATAACCGGCGGGTATAGGGTCAGGTGCTGAAGGGGCATTGTGAGAAGTGACCTAGAAGGCAACAGGTGAGCCTTCTGTCACGCCCGCATAAGGGCCGCTTGAGGGCTCCTTGGTCAAGCGGTAACGCCAGTGTCTGGGAAGGCACCCGTTACTTAGCAGACCGCGAAAGGGAGTCTCCTTTCCTTGGAGGAGTCAGGGAACACTCTGCTCCACCAGCTTCTTGTGGAAGGCTGGATATTATCCAGGCCTGCCTGCAGTCATCCGGAGGCCTAAACCCCTCCCTGCGGTGCTGTGCTTCAGTGGTCACGCTCCTTGTCCACTTTCATGTTCCTCCCATACTCCTGGTTCCTCTTTGAAGTTCATAGTAGATAGCGGTAGAAGAAATAGTGAAAGTCTTAAAGTCTTTGATCTTTCTTATAAGTGCAGAGAAGAAAACACTGACGTATGCTGCCTTCTCCTCTGCTTCGGCTACCTAAAAGGGAAGGGCCCCCCATCCTGTAATCATGTGACCTGCTTCACCTTGTCAATCACTTAGAAGATTCACCCTTCTTACCCTGCCCCCTTGTCTTGTATGCAATAAATATCATCGAGCCCAGCTGTTTGGGGCCACTACCGGTCTCTGCGTCTTGATGGTAGTGGTCCCCCGGGCCCAGCTGTTTTCTCTTTATCTCTTTGTCTTGTGTCTTCATTTATTACAATCTTTCGTCTCCGCACATGGGGAGAACACCCGCTAAGCCCCTTGGGCTGGACCCTACATGTGAGTGACAAATAGATAATAGTCTCCTTTTCTGTTGGGCTTTCTTCATCTTTTTATGGGTCCTGACAATCTCGAACCTTCCTGAAACTAGGTTTACCTAATATTACCAGTAGATTTAGGAATGTATTTATTGGTATTTTACACTAGTTTCTTGAAGCAGCTAAGAGCAAACAAGGCAGTTATTTATTCCCTATGTCTATATAATGTCCCCAGAATATCTCATTAAGAAGGCCTAGGTCAGTTGTTCTCAACCTTACTGTACACTGGAATCATCTGGGGAGCTTTAAAAAATACTGATAAATGGGACCTACTCCTGACTCCCTGCCAACTCTGCTTTTGCTGCCTGGGAATTGGATTTTTTTAAAGCTCCCCAGATGATTCTAAATGTGTAGCCAAGCTTGAGAACAACTGACCTAGATCCTACTTAATTAATGTGGCTTTTGATTTTGCATCAGCATTTCCAAATAAAGGACATATATTCATCTCTAGAGAACTGCTTGTTTAGCTTAATGGAAGAATTGCAAAGTTTGAGCAGGCCCTTCAGGGATACAAGTGAACAGAGGCATAAGCATACGCATTTGCGGGGACAGTGAAGACACTGATGGGGCCATAGCCAATGGATTCATGTGTATTGTCAAGTACTTTGACACATCTTGTCTAAATTGTCCATAGGTAGCCAGCAACGTAGGCTGGTTCTCTCCTAGCAGCGCCAAACAGAAATCAGAATACTGTTCTCCAGAATTACTGACCCATTACATAGGGGAAGGCAAAACATGACTGCTTGATATTAGGCTCAGGAAAGTGGTAAAGAGGTTGCAATCAGTTTTTGGTCCTCTCTTGTCAAACCATTTTATCAACAAATCAGCCCCACAATATTTAACAGTCTGGTAACTGCAAGGCATGACACTTACCCTTCCTTAAAAAGCATGTTAGGCTGGGCACTGTGGCTCAAGCCTGTAATCCCAGCTCTTTGGGAGGCTGAGGCGGGTGGATCACCTGAGGTTGGGAGTTCGAGACCAGCCTAACCAACATGGAGAAACCCCGTATCTACTAAAAATACAACATTAGCCGGGCGTGGTGGTGCATGCCTGTAATCCCAACTACTTGAGAGGCTGAGGCAGGAGAATAGCTTGAACCCGGGAGGCGGAGGTTGCAGTGAGCCCAGATCACGCCATTGCACTCCAGGCTGGGCGACAGAGCGAGACTCTGTCTCAAACAAACAAACAAACAAACAAACAAAAAAGCATGTTAACAAAGCTGTGTGATCCTGTTTTTAGCATTTTACTCAGATTATCAGAAAAGTGTGGGTTGCATTCTACTTCAGGGACTTTCTCATCTACCTTTTTCTTACCCTCTCTGTATCTCCTTCTTTTTTTTGTTCCTGGTTGTCTCTGGCCTATACTATCTTTCTTCACTCTCCCTCTGATTGCTTTTCTTTTCTTATCTTTCTCACACCCCTCTGCCTCTTGCAGTTTCTTGGCACTCTGCCCTAAGCACTTTGATTCTTCTCTTTTAACTTCCATACTCATTCCTGATTTTACCCCCACCTTAGGCACACCTTTCCTCCTTCTGTCTTCTGCTATTCGCCCTGCACCCTTCAACAGTCTTTCTTCATCTTTAAGAGAAGGCACTATAGCAGAAAAAACCCTTGAGTGAAGAAGTAGGGAACCGGGATTTCAGGCCCTGCCTGGTCAGTGACAGCAGTATTACCTGGGGTAAGCCACTTACACATTCTGGGTCTCAATTTCTGCACATAGAAATAAAGTTGGTATGAGTCAATGGTTCTGAATAGGGCTAGAAATAGTCTCTTTTGTTCATTGTGCTTCCTGGTAACTAAAAGAATGCTAGGAACATAGGAGGAAGTCAATAATTTTTGTTGAATAAATGAATAAATGTGTTGCCTGAAGAAACCACCAATGGCAGAGCATATACATTAAACCATTTTTTAGCAATAGGGTTCAATTTGCATTTATTCATACATATGTTTTCCCCTACTTTCTCTTGGGCATGAAAATCTACATTTGTGTGAATTTTGAGCAAGGTCATGAGCAAGGTCTGTGATCTGTAAATGGTGTGACATAAATTGGCCCATGAAGTAAAGAGCCCATGACCGTGACCGTCGTAGGACCCTAAAGATGTAGTAGGCCAAATGCAATTATAGGTCATTTGACCATTCTCTAAAGCCATTTACAAGTATGTCTTAAACACATTTTTTAGAAAATCAAGAGCATATTAACAAAGCAAAAGAATAATTTTTGAAAAACAGACTACATTGAAAAGAGAACAGAATCCAGAGCATCTTGGGGTAATAAGTCAAAGATATGAAACATAAACTCCTTCAAAAGTACATAAATAACTGAAATAGATAATGCTTGCTCTCTGGAAATATAGTATGCAAGATGGAGAGAAGGTTAAACAGCAAGAAAATTAAGTAAACAAAAGCAACTAATCAATAGCACATTAAGACTTATAAACCAGTCAGGAAACAGCAAATTTGAAGTGCAGAGCCATTTCAAATGCATCTACCATGATATAATTGGACTCTAGATGTAAAGAGGAAATATGAGGATAATTAAATTTGAGGTTGTGGGAACCTAAAGACTATAATATAAACTGTATCAAATAAAAAAGGAAAAGCAAGAACACGGTGAGGAAGAGAAATAGCTTTTCTTTTGAAAAGAATCTTTATTTAGGACTCCAAGGACTCATTAGATAGAGAATCATTCATTAATTCTCTTCATATAATTAAAAAACAGATTTTAATGTAATAATTTAGAGTGGGGTAAATGTTTAGAATCCTTGTAGTTGTAAAAAGTTTTCCTCTTTTCAATTATAATTAAAAAGGCTTTAACCTTATGCTATCCTTATACTGCAACTCTAGTGTTTCATTGTTAAAATTAAATTTTTAAAAGGCGATCTTTGTTCTTTTGAAATGTACTGCATAAGACAAATTTCAAATGGAAGAATAATATTTATTAAAACATCGCAATTGCCTTAACAAACCACTTAAAAAAAAACTCGGGGGAGGAGCCAAGATGGCTGAATAGGAATAGCTCCGGTCTACAGCTCCCAGCCTGAGCAACCCAGAAGATGGGTGATTTCTGCATTTCCATCTGAGGTACCGGGTTCATCTCACTAGGGAGTGCCAGACAGTGGGCACAGGACAGTGGGTGCAGCACACCGTGCGCGAGCCGAATCAGGGCGAGGCATTGCCTCACTCAGGAAGTGCAAGGGGTCAGGGAGTTCCCTTTCCTGGTCAAGGAAAGGGGTGACAGACGGCACCTGGAAAATTGGGTCACTCCCACCCGAATACTGCGCTTTTCTGATGGGCTTAGGAAACGGCACACCAGGAGATTACATCCCACACATGGCTCAGAGGGTCCTACACCCACGGAGTCTTGCTGATTGCTAGCACAGCAGTCTGAGATCAAACTGCAAGGTGGCAGCGAGGCTGGGGGAGGGGCACCCGCCATTGCCCAGCCTTGCTTAGGTAAACAAAGCAGCCAGGAAGCTGGAACTGGGTGGAGCCCACCACAGCTCAAGGAGGCCTGCCTGCCTCTGTAGGCTCCATCTCTGGGGGCAGGGCACAGACAAACAAAAAGACAGCAGTAACCTCTGCAGACTTAAATGTCCCTGTCTGACAGCTTTGAAGAGAGCAGTGGTTCTCCCAGCACGCAGCTGGAGATCTGAGAACGGGCAGACTGCCTCCTCAAGTGGGTCCCTGACCCCTGACCCCTGACCCCCAAGCAGCCTAACTGGGAGGCACCCCCCAGTAGGGGCAGACTGACACCTCAAACGGCCAGGTACTCCTCTGAGACAAAACTTCCAGAGGAATGATCAGACAGCAGCATTCGCGGTTCACGAAAATCCGCTCTTCTGCAGCCACCTCTGCTGATACCCGGGCAAACAGGGTCTGGAGTGGACCTCTAGCAAACTCCAACAGACCTGCAGCTGAGGGTCCTGTCTGCTAGAAGGAAAACTAACAAACAGAAAGGACATCCACACCAAAAACCCATCTGTACCTCACCATCATCAAAGACCAAAAGTAGATAAAACCACAAAGATGGGGAAAAAACAGAGCAGAAAAACTGGAAACTCTAAAAAGCAGAGCGCCTCTCCTCCTCCAAAGGAACGCAGTTCCTCACCAGCAATGGAACAAAGCTGGATGGAGAATGACTTTGACGAGCTGAGAGAAGAAGGCTTCAGACAATCAAATTACTCCGAGCTATGGGAGGACATTCAAACCAAAGGCAAAGAAGTTGAAAACTTTGAAAAAAATTTAGAAGAATATGTAACTAGAATAACCAATACAGAGAAGTGCTTAAAGGAGCTGATGGAGCTGAAAACCAAGGCTCGAGAACTACGTGAAGAATGCAGAAGCCTCAGGAGCCGATGCGATCAACTGGAAGAAAGGGTATCAGCGATGGAAGATGAAATGAATGAAATGAAGCGAGAAGGGAAGTTTAGAGAAAAAAGAATAAAAAGAAACGAGCAAAGCCTCCAAGAAACATGGGACTATGTGAAAAGACCAAATCTATGTCTGATTGGTGTACCTGAAAGTGACGGGGAGAATGGAACCAAGTTGGAAAACACTCTGCAGGATATTATCCAGGAGAACTTCCCCAATCTAGCAAGGCAGGCCAACATTCAGATTCAGGAAATACAGAGAATGCCACAAAGATACTCCTCGAGAAGAGCAACTCCAAGACACATCATTGTCAGATTCACCAAAGTTGAAATGAAGGAAAAAATGTTAAGGGCAGCCAGAGAGAAAGGTCGGGTTACCCTCAAAGGGAAGCCCATCAGACTAACAGTGGATCTCTTGGCAGAAACTCTACAAGCCAGAAGAGAGTGGGGGCCAATATTCAACATTCTTAAAGAAAAGAATTTTCAATCTAGAATTTCATATCCAGCCAAACTAAGCTTCATAAGTGAAGGAGAAATAAAATACTTTACAGACAAGCAAATGCTGAGAGAGTTTGTCACCACCAGGCCTGCCGTAAAAGAGCTCCCGAAGGAAGTGCTAAACATGGAAAGGAACAACCGGTACCAGCCGCTGCAAAATCATGCCAAAATGTAAAGACCAACGAGACTAGGAAGCAATTGCATCAACTAACGAGCAAAATAACCAGCTAACATCATAATGACAGGATCAAATTCACACATAACAATATTAACTTTAAATGTAAATGGATTAAATGCTCCAATTAAAAGACACAGACTGGCAAACTGGAAAAAGAGTCAAGACCCATCAGTGTGCTGTATTCAGGAAACCCATCTCACGTGCAGAGACACACATGGGCTCAAAATAAAAGGATGGAGGAAGATCTACCAAGCAAATGGAAAACAAAAAAAGGCAGGGGTTGCAATCCTAGTCTCTGATAAAACAGACTTAAAACCAACAAAGATCAAAAGAGACAAAGAAGGCCATTACATAATGGTAAAGGGATCAATTCAACAAGAAGAGCTAACTATCCTAAATATATATGCACTCAATACAGGAGCACCCAGATTCATGAAGCAAGTCCTGAGTGACCTACAAAGAGACTTAGACTCCCACACAATAATAATGGGAGACTTTAACACCCCACTGTCAACATTAGACAGATCAACAAAGACAGAAAGTTAACAAGGATACCCAGGAATTGAACTCAGCTCTGCACCAAGCAGACCTAATAGACATCTACAGAACTCTCCACCCCAAATCAACAGAATATACATTTTTTTCAGCACCACACCACACCTATTCCAAAATTGACCACATAGTTGGAAGTAAAGCTCTCCTCAGCAAATGCAAAAGAATAGAAATTTTAACAAACTGTCTCTCAGACCACAGTGCAATCAAACTAGAACTCAGGATTAAGAAACTCACCCAAAACTGCTCAAGTACATGGAAGCTGAACAACCTGCTCCTGAATGACTACCGGGTACATAATGAAATGAAGGCAGAAATAAAGATATTCTTTGAAACCAATGAGAACAAAGACACAACATACCAGAATCTCTGGGACACATTCAAAGCAGTGTAAAGAGGGAAATTTATAGCACTAAATGCCCACAAGAGAAAGCAGGAAAGATCCAAAATCGACACCCTAACATCCCAATTAAAAGAACTAGAGAAGGCCGGGCGCGGTGGCTCACGCCTGTAATCCCAGCACTTTGGGAGGCCGAGGCAGGCGGATCACGAGGTCAGGAGATCGAGACCATCCTGGCTAACACAGTGAAACCCCGTCTCTACTAAAAAACACAAAAAAAATTAGCCGGGCGTGGTGGCGGGCGCCTGTAGTCCCAGCTACGCGGGAGGCTGAGGCAGGAGAATGGCGTGAACCCAGGAGGCGGAGCTTGCAGTGAGCCGAGATCGCGCCACTGCACTCCAGCCTGGGCGACAGAGCGAGACTCCGTCTCAAAAAAAAAAAAAAAAAAAAAAAAAAAAAGAACTAGAGAAGCAAGAGCAAACACATTCAAAAGCTAGCAGAACGCAAGAAATAACTAAGATCAGAGCAGAACTGAAGGAAATAGAGACACAAAAAACCCTCAAAAAATCAATGAATCCAGGAGCTGGTTTTTTGAAAAGATCAACGAAATTGATAGACTGCTAGCAAGACTAATAAAGAAGAAAAGGGAGAAGAATCAAATAGATGCAATAAAAAATGACAAAGGGGATATCACCACCAACCCCACAGAAATACAAACTACCATCAGAGAATACTATAAACACCTCTACGCAAATAAACTAGAAAATCTAGAAGAAATGGATAAATTCCTCGACACATACACTCTGCCAAGAGTAAACCAGGAAGAAGTTGAATCTCTGAATAGACCAATAACAGGATCTGAAATTGTGGCAATAATCAATAGCTTACCAAACAAAAAGAGTCCAGGACCAGATGGATTCACAGCCAAATTCTACCAGAGGTACAAGGAGGAACTGGTACCATTCCTTCTGAAACTATTCCAATCAATAGAAAAAGAAGGAATCCTCCCTAACTCATTTTATGAGGCCAGCATCATCCTGATACCAAAGCCGGGCAGAGACACAACCAAAAAAGAGAATTTTAGACCAATATCCTTGATGAATATTGATGCAAAAATCCTCAATAAAATACTGGCAAATCGAATCCAGCAGCACATCAAAAAGCTTATCCACCATGATCAAGTGGGCTTCATCCCTGGGATGGAAGGCTGGTTCAACACAAGCAAATCAATAAAGGTAATCCAGCATATAAACAGAACCAAAGACAAAAACCACATGATTATCTCAATAGATGCAGAAAAGGCCTTTGACAAAATTCAACAACCCTTCATGCTAAAAACGCTCAATAAATTAGGTATTGATGGGACGTATCTCAAAAAATAAGAGCTATCTATGACAAACCCACGCCAATATCATACTGAATGGGCAAAAACTGGAAGCATTCCCTTTGAAAACTGGCACAAGACAGGGATGCCCTCTCTCACCACTCCTATTCAACATAGTGTTGGAAGTTCTGGCCAGGGCAATTAGGCAGGAGAAGGAAATAAAGGGTATTCAATTAGGAAAAGAGGAAGTCAAACTGTCCCTGTTTACAGATGACATGATTGTATATCTGGAAAACCCCATTGTCTCAGCCCAAAGTCTCCTTAAGCTGATAAGCAACTTCAGCAAAGTCTCAGGATACAAAATCAATGTGCAAAAATCACAAGCATTCTTATATACCAATAACAGACAAACAGAGAGCCAAATCATGAGTGAACTCCCATTAACAATTGCTTCAAAGAGAATAAAATACCTAGGAATCCAACTTACAAGGGATGTGAAGGACCTCTTCAAGGAGAACTACAAGCCACTGCTCAATGAAATAAAAGAGGATACAAACAAATGGAAGAACATTCCATGCTCATGGGTAGGAAGAATCAATAACGTGAAAATGGCCATACTACCCAAGGTCATTTATAGATTCAATGCCATCCCCATCAAGCTACCAATGACTTTCTTCACAGAATTGGAAAAAATTACTTTAAAGTTCATATGGAACCAAAAAAGAGCCTGCATCGCCAAGTCAATCCTAAGCCAAAAGAACAAAGCTGGAGGCATCATGCTACCTGACTTCAAACTATACTACAAGGCTACAGTAACCAAAACAGCATGGTACTGGTACCAAAACAGAGATATAGATCAATGGAACAGAACAGAGCCCTCAGAAATAACGCCGCATACCTACAACTATCTGATCTTTGACAAACCTGACAAAAAAAAGCAATGGGGAAAGGATTCCCTATTTAATAAATGGTGCTGGGAAAACTGGCTAGCCATATGTAGAAAGCTGAAACTGGATCCCTTCCTTACACCTTACACAAAAATTAATTCAAGATGGATTAAAGACTTACATGTTAGACCTAAAACCATAAAAACCCTAGAAGAAAACCTAGGCATTACCATTCAGGACATAGGCATGGGCAAGGACTTCATGTCTAAAACACCAAAAGCAATGGCAACAAAAGCCAAAATTGACAAATGGGATCTAATTAAACTCAAGAGCTTCTGCACAGCAAAAGAAACTACCATCAGAGTGAACAGCCAACCTACAGAATGGGAGAAAATTTTCTCAACCTACTCATCTGACAAAGGGCTAATATCCAGAATCTACAATGAACTCAAACAAATTTACAAGAAAAAAACAAACAACCCTATCAAAAAGTGGGCAAAGGATATGAACAGACACTTCTCAAAAGAAGACATTTATGCAGCCAAAAGACACATGAAAAAATGCTCATCATCACTGGCCATCAGAGAAATGCAAATCAAAACCACAATGAGATACCATCTCACACCAGTTAGAATGGCAATCATTAAAAAGTCAGGAAACAACAGGTGCTGGAGAGGATGTGGAGAAATAGGAACACTTTTACACTGTTGGTGGGACTGTCAACTAGTTCAACCATTGTGGAAGTCAGTGTGGTGATTCCTCAGGGATCTAGAACTAGAAATACCATTTGACCCAGCCATCCCATTACTGGGTATATACCCAAAGGACTATAAATCATGCTGCTATAAAGACACATGCACACGTATGTTTATGGCGCCATTATTCACAATAGCAAAGACTTGGAACCAACCCAAATGTCCAACAATGATAGATTGGACTAAGAAAATGTGGCACATATACACCATGGAATACTATGCAGCCATAAAAAATGATGAGTTCATGTCCTTTGTAGGGACATGGATGAAATTGGAAATCATCATTCTCAGTAAACTATCGCAAGGACAAAAAACCAAACACCGCATGTTCTCACTCATAGGTGGGAATTGAACAATGAGAACACATGGACACAGGAAGGGGAACATCACACTCTGGGGACTGTTGTGGGGTGGGGGGAGGGGGGAGGGATGGCATTAGGTGATATACCTAATGCTAAATGACGAGTTAATGGGTGCAGCACACCAGCATGGCACATGTATACATATGTAACTAACCTGCACATTGTGCACATGTACCCTAAAACTTAAAGTATAATAATAATAAAAAAAAGAATAGAACACAAACACACACACACACACACACAAACTCAAGTGACGATATTGAAACTGACTTTTCCATGTTTAAACATTCATTTAAATTCAGAATTACTTGAACTAGACAAAATTTCAAGAAGTTGAGCAAGAGGTCTCTTCTTCTACAATAATTCAATTTAAATACATATAATAGATTTATGAGATTCCAGGCACTATTCTGGGCATTGGAAATACAGATATGGACAACACATAGTCCTTGTCTTCCAAAGCTGATGGTCTCATAGGGGGACAAAAATGCCCATAAATAACTATAACATAATGATAGTCGTATATTCCATAAAAGAACAAAGCATTATGGCCACAGAGAAGAACATATTACTCACTTCTAATAGCTCTTATAAAACTTTGGTTGTAATCCTGATTCTCTGATGACTTAGTGAATGGTGCTAGACAGAAAAAAGTATATTGTTGACAGTGGGTAGGCAAATTCCCTTCCCCCTCTATCTCCTACTTTCAGTAGTTCAGAGATGAGACTGGGTGCGGTGGCTCACGCCTGTAATCCCAGCACTTTGGGAGGCCGAGTTGGGCATATGGCTTGAGGTCAGGAGTTCAAGACCAGTGTGGCCAACATAGTGAAACCCAGTCTCTACTAAAAATATAAAAATTAGCTGGGCGTAGTGGTGTGCACTTGTAATCCCAGCTACTTGGGAGGCTGAGGCAGGAGAATCACTTGAACCTGGGAGAGAGAGGTTGTAGTGAGTGGAAATAGTGCCACCGTACTCTAGCCTGGGCAACAGAGTGAGACTCCATCTCAAAAAAAAAAAAAAGAAATTTAGAGATGAATGTGTACTGTTTTCAACCTTGGGGTAAGGGGAACAAGTGCTGACATAGGCATTCCACAGTAGGAATTGCGCAGGAGCACACTTGGAAGCTGAGATGTTAGGCCCATTGCCCCTGGCCTTAATTCTACAACCAAGTACTTCAGCATCTGGCATCTTGAAATGGTCAAGAAAAACAAGAACATTAATCTTACTGTGAGACTCATATATCTCTCACTGTGGCAGGTAAGAGGATCAGTCTTTCAATTCATCTTTTACTAGATCCCTGTTGAATTTCTCACACAACAGATTCCCATATCATCCCTGTTCCCACAGAGCCCCACAATTGCACCTTCTTTCGCCCACTTGCAGCAGATACCTTCAAGTCCTATTTTCCTACAAAGTTGTATGTCATCTGATATGAATATCCTAAAGTACTCACGTTAAGGTTCCATTCCAGCAACCTCAAAATCTTTATTATCTTACAGTGTACTGCTTAGGAGTAGAAATTCTGGAATCGAATTACCTGGAATTAAATTTTGCTTATACCACTTACTGTCTCTCATAGAGAGACATTGGGCTAAAAAAAATTGAGCCTTAGATTTTTCATCTGTAAAATGAGGAAATTAATAGTATTTACCTTATATAGTTGTTGATAAAATTAAATACTTCTAGACTACTGAGAATAGAGCCTGATATTCCATAAAACTACAAAATAACTATTATTATTATTATTATCCCTCTATTGCTGAGAATGAAGATAAATGTCGTATTCATTAAAGGTCCTCTTTCCTCTGGCCTCCTTCAGAAGTTCACTCTAATTCTCTACATCTTATATCTTGACTTATTTCCATTAGGTCTATTCTCTTGCTACTTCAAAATTCCATTTTAAAAACCTATTTCCTTATCCTGCTACAGTACTGTGGGTCTCCCTTGCAGCACTGACAAACTTCTTTAAAAAGCCCTTGCCCCTTTCAAAATCACCTACCCACTTGTTTCTATCTAATCAATTTGGTCCAAGTGTTCTTTTTCATCACTAGTAGACTTCCATCTACCAAATATGAGGGCTTTTCTTTGTCACTCTTCTTCTCCACCTCTGCGTTTAATAGCAACTGAATATTGACCAACAATTTCCTCCTTCTTGAAACTCTCTTCCTTTCCCTTCCATGACTCGCTTCCTACATCTCAGAACGAGCCTTCTCTGCATCTCTCTTAGACGTGGTCTTTTCTCAAGTTGTCCTCAGTCTCCTTTTACCAGATCTATTCCTGAGCAATATCATCTACTCCCACGGTTCAGCTCTATATGTGACTCCCAGATCATATCCCTGGCCTGATACCTGAGAAAATCTACACACTAGTATTTCCAACTCAATCGGGGTCATTTGCACCTGCATTTCTTGCTGCACTTAAAAACTCAGCTTATTCAAGTTTAAACATTTTCCCTCCAAAGGGAATTTTATTTGATTGACTTACTCCTGTTGGTATCTCTTCTCAACCCATTCTCTCTCTGTGTTCCAGTCATGCTGGCCTTCTTTCCATTTAAAATGCCACCTTACAGCCTGTGTTACCTCTATTAGAAACTTCCTTTCTTTTCCCAGCCTAGTAAACTTCTTTAGCTTGAATGTCCCTTTCTCAGGGTAGCCCTTCCATCCTTATTAATGCTTAGCATTTTTTTTTTTTTCGAGATGGGTTCTCTCTCTGTCACCCAGGTTTGAGTGCAGTGGCACAGTCATAGTTCACTGCCTCACTGCAACCTCAAACTCCTGAGTTCAACCAGTCCTCCTGCTTCAGCCTCCCAAGTAGCTGGGACTACAGGTGCAGGCCACCACACCTGGCTAATTCTTTCTTAAATTTTTTTTTTTTTTGAGATGGAGTCTTGCTCTGTTGCCCAGGCTGGAGTGCAGTGGCACGATCTCAGCTCACTGCAAGCTCCACCTCCCAGGTTCATGCCATTCTCCTGCCTCAGCCCCTGAGTAGCTGGGACTACAGGCGCCCGCCACCACGCCTGGCTAATTTTTTATATTATAGTATTGTAGTAGAGACGAGGTTTCACTGTGTTAGTCAGGATGGTCTTGATCTCCTGACCTCGTGATATGCCCGCCTCGGCCTCCCAAAGTGCTGGAATTACAGGTGTGAGCCACCGCGCCTGGCCTCTTAAATTTTTTTTTGTAGAGATAGGGTCTTGCTTTGTTGCCCAGGCTGGTCTCCAACTCCTGGCTTCAAGTGATCCTCTCACCTTGGCCTCCCAAAGTGCTGGGATTACAGGCATGAGCCACTGAACTTGGCCGGGACTAGTTTGTTTTGATCTCAGTTGTACCTCCAGTACCTGGCTTATGGTTGAGCCTTCCATAACTATTCACTGATGAACAAAAGAATAAATGAATACAAAGGCATCAAACAGTATAGCACATTTGAGGAATTATAAATAGTTTTATGACTGAAGCATAAAGGGAATTGGGTGAGGGGGTGGGAAAGGGGAAGCAGCAAAAGATGACACTGAAGTGGTATGCAGGGGTCAGTTCACCGCAGGCTGTGAGCGTTGTTGGGAAGCTTGATCTTTATTTTGTATGTGGGATTGGGTTTGCTAGGGGTTGCAATCAGGAAAGTAAGACAACCAGTTGCATGTTTTGGAAGATCATACTGACAGCGCTGCAGAAAAAGGAGATTAGAGAGGATGCATACTTCTCTAGATGAAGGGGAATGAAGACGTGGACTATGTGTTTGGGTTGTTTGTACTGAACATCTGCTGCTTTTGCCTGCCTGTCATCAACTCCCATTTCTTCTGACAACAGTGCTCCCATTTTCCTTTTATAAAAAGTATCTATTCCCCACTGGATGCTGTTCTGTTGAGACTGTCAATAAAGATGCCCCGCCCTCCCACCAAGGGGCAGGAGTATGATCCGAACTAAGCCAATCAAATTTTCTCTCTCTGGAATCAGAGACGCAAACTGGCTGACACAAAGACTGAAAAATGACTGGGGCTCATTCATCCCAATTGTGGCCTCTGAAGAGACTGTTCCTGCTCCCTGGATCCCCAGAGTTATCCAATTTCCTACCCTTTCTTGGTTGCCTAGCTTTTTAAAATAGTCTGTGTGCTATCCATATCTTTCTAATAAATTCTTTTTTTTCTTTTTTGCTTAAGTTAGCCAGAGTTGGTTACTGTTGCTTACAACCAAAGTATCCTAATTGATACAGCACTGTATCCCAAACTTGCCTGAATATAAACATCATCTAAGGTGCTTGTTAAAAATACATATTTCTGGATCCTACCCTAGCCAAAATCACTGAGTCAGTAACCCCAGGGGAACAGCCTAGGAATCTTTATCATTAATACATTTTTTCTGGTAGGTTTTAATAACCAGGCAAACTTGGCAAACACCTAACTAGGGCAAAGACAGCAGGGAAAGAAAAACAAAGAAACTGACAGACATAGTGATAAGTTGGATGTGGTGGATGAGGAGAGGGACCTGACTTGAGTGACTAACAGGATGATGATGCTCTAAAAGCTAAGGAGAAGCATGTTTATAGGGGAACAATGAATTTAGTTTTGGGATATGCTGATATTTAGATAATGCAGGATATTTAAGGGAAAATAGGTAGCTAGTAAATGGTGCTGCCACTTACTAGATGTGTGACCTTGGATAAGTTACTTAGCCTCTCTGTGTAATGGAGATCATCATCATCATCATCATCATCATCATCTTAGTAATTATAATACCTATTCATAGGGTTTTATGACACTTAATATTAACGCACTTAGAACTGTGCCTGGCACATATAGGTACTACATAAGTGGCAGAGAAATGAATGAAAAAAGCGGGATATAAGGGTCTGCATTTTAGGAGAGAAGACTAAGGCTTCTGAGTTATGATCCTAGAGGGAGTGACTGAAGTCACAGAAGTGAATGATCTAAGAATGTATGGACCTACAGTATATAAAAAACAGAAGGACCTCTACTTGGTGGGCTTTTTGTCTTATTTCAACCTATCAAAATTCTTCGACAACATTTCATCAATTCTATGATGACTTTTTTCACATTTTTCACATCTCTGGAAAAGGAATGCCTCTTGCCATCAATGACATGTCATTGTTTAATTATCAGAATTCTTTCTTTTTTAGTGGTGCATAAAATAATGGTGTGTCTTTCAGTTGACAGCATCTTAGATTTGATGATATGAGAAGTATGATCTCTCTTCTTTGAACCTCAAAGACATCCCATATCAGCCTCTTCTATAACATTTATTTTAGCCTGCTGAATATTAGAGTCGTCCATCAGCTACTACACTGCAAGAACCCCAAGGGTCAAGACATCTCTGACTCTTCCTTTTGTTTCTCAAAGGACACACTAAATGGTTTTGCCTGCAAAAGACCCTTAATAAAAATTGCTTGGATTAAATTGAATTCTAAAGCAGGATATAAATTATTTTTAGAATTTCTGATAATTTTGCAATTAGTCTCATTGCAGTTCCCATCTCTTAATTTGACATGTGTGAGTACACACTTGTTTCCAGATTACTAACATTACATCTAATTCAAAGCATCTACAATGTGAATTCCCCAGGTAGTTGGTTACATGAACTATTTCAAGAAACATATTCCCAGCATTCTGGGAATATTAAAAAGATAAGACCAGAAATCTTACTACAAAGTTATATTGAGAATAGAGAACACTGTTCATACACATATTAATAACTGTGTAATTACTACAGATGTTGATACTTTATGTGTTATCTTAGTTTGCGCTGTTCTTTCTCTTAATGAAGCTTTATTCCTTTTCCTTGTTTACATGTGAGACTTTGGGTGGCCATTACCTGTGTGTTCAGTCTCACCAAATCCCTAGGGGTCAACTACATGCTCAGACATGCATCATTATTGAAGTAAAGAGCTCACCTCCTCCCCAAGCCTACTTTTTGCACGGAACACACCTCAAGCCTTGGCAATGGCCAGGTCAATTCTCTTGGTCTGTTCCAGCTGAATTTTCTACCATCCTTCTCTCCACCATTTCTGACTCTGCCATCCCACTGCTCAAGCGCTAATATCACCTCTCACCTTCTGGATCCTAGATCACATTAGCCTCTCTTCTTTTCCAAGGCCACAGGTTAATAAAGCCTCTCCAGTGTCACAATAAGAAAGACGAATTTAATTGCTGTCACTGATGATTGCTATTTTGTTTCTCTCTTTTCTCTCTATGGCTCTTCCTGTGCTGTTTTGGGGGGCTGTTTTGTTCTCAGTGGAATTTCTCATCTTCAGGTGGACAGCCACATGTGTCTGTGTCCAGTCAGTCCTTTGGCCCCTGTTTCTTTTTACAGTACAATCTTGCATTGTGATCTTGTTCACTGAGTACTCTCTCCTCCATAGAGCTCACTAAGGATCCAAGGGTACTTTGAGTACTCTTAGCATTAAGTAAATGGGTTACAGGCATGTCATGTCATTATAATAATATGTAATGTCTCAGTCCCATCATCTACCTTTTCCCATAATCCTGAGAGAAATTTGCAGTGCATCCCATGCCCACCAAGGCTCAGACTCAACCTGTCCTCCAAGCCTTACCTCTCCCAGCATCCTGCACACTGTCTCCTCTCCATAGGCTTCCAGCCAGATCAGACTATACAACAACATCCAAACTCCCCATGGACTCAGGCACCTCTCAATCTTTGTTCCTATTATTTGCCTAAGCCCGGAATTCTCTTTCCTCCTTTTTGGCCACTGAAATCCTATTCATTTACTCAAATCTGACTAAAGTAGGACGTCCTTCATGAAGTCTCTCAGTCTCTACCTGAAAATAACTGTCTGTTTCTCTATTCTCCCACAACAGATTTCTTGCATTGCTGTGTCTGTACTTCATTGTGTCTTGAATGATTATTTGTACTTAGCTAATTCCCCATAAAATTTTAAGTTCTTTGTGGTCGGAGACTCCATCTTGTCTCAGTATTCCTTACATCAGCACCAAAATGCCTCATGACGTTTACTAAATAGTTGACTACACAAAGGTAGAGAGATTGTTTACAATGATGCAAGTATTATAAAAGTAAGTAATATTCCAGAAGAGTAAGATGAACACCTAGAAACCCTTGCAATTTTGAATTCTCTAAAATTAACAGGAAAGTCAGTTGCCCTTAGAAAGCACACTAGTCTGGAAATTAAGAGGTTTGCGTGTTAGTCTTGGTTCTGCCTTGGGTAGGTCATGTTTCCTCTCTGGCTTGGTCTCTTCATAGCTAAGACAAAGGGGTTGCTCTAGATCACTATTTCCCAAACCTTAATTTTTGCAGTATCTGTACTTTATTTGCTTAATAGTTTAAATCACCCAAGGCCTAACATTACTACCAACTTTAGCCTTATCCTAAATAAGAATATCTGTGAAATTGTGGTTTCATTGCAGCAGCTATGATTTGTTAACATAAATTAAATATAACTGTTAAGTAAAAATAAAAATCTATGTGCCATTAAAATAACTTCCTATGCCACTAATGGCACATAGTCCATGCTTTAGGAGGTACTGGTTTAGACATGTTCCTTTCAGCTCTAAGGACTTTAAAATCTTCTCTGGGGAAGTTATGCCCCCTCTTGAGCCATTTAACAAAATGCATTAAATGAATCTTGAATGGGAATGATTCAGCATTAGCCTCAGGGAATAGAATGTAACTTAATAAGCCTTCCAGCACCTCTAATGACTGGGATTCCACCCTTTTTATGCCTCCCCTCTGAGCGAGGTGCTGTTTGCACATTCTGCCTTTTCTGCAGCCTCCGCTTTCCTGCAGAGCCCTGTATGTGTCTGCCTGCCCGGATCTCCCCTCTGAGGGCTGTTTATGTTTGCACACTCGGCTTGTCCTGTGGACTTGTCTAACTAAGCTCCCCTTTGAGGGCTGTATACTTTGGCACAGTCTGGCTCTCCACGGGATTCGTTTGTCCATTAACACCTCTTGTCTTGCAGTTACAGTAAAGTCTTTGCTGCCCTTGCCTCAAGCAAATAAGCCCACGTGATTCTATACTTAACTATTCTTCTGTGTATTTCCATTTATTTTCTATACTTTATATAATGAACATGTATAAAGTTTATAATAAGAAAAGCTATAAATTTTGGTTTTTAAAACTGTGAAGAGGACATTTGGTTGCAGATGATGGAATAAAGGCATTGTAACTTAATTCTCCTCTTTCGAAACCAATTTGACAACACGAAAATAACGTAAAGCAGCCTTAAGAAGAAGGCCATTATCAATGAAGCAAGTAAACAGCCATAATACCAAGCACCATAATTACAAAGCATACTTACTATGTACTGAGCTTGCTTGCTTGAGGTAGAATAAAGAGTCCTGAAAACTGTCACAGCCTTGAAAGCATACTAAGAACTCTAAAAGGTGGAAGTGGAGAGTGTCTCTATAAAGACTTAGCTCCTCACCACAGAAAAGACTGAGTTGAAGAACCCATATTAAACTCCGACTTTTATTATTATTATTATTAATTGACTTTTATTATTTGCCACATGTGCTTCTAGCCAAAAAAGACTGACAGTGATAAAGAAAGGGGTGAGCTTACCAGATAGCGACACAGAGTCTAGATCTAAGGGAAATTGCTGTGAGCTACACTGACCTCTGGAATGTGGAGAACAGAAGAGGGATGTACTCCCAGAGCACAGGACATGCAAACTTGGTGGAAGGAAGTATGAACAACAGATCCTAATAGAGATAGTACGCTGCCCCCATTCACATACTTCTGCAAATAGATGGCTCGATTCAAAGATGAGTAATAATTAGAATAGGAGAAAGAAAACTGTTTATCTGCTGACACTATTATTGTGTATGTAGAAAATTCAAAAGAATCTACAAACTATTAGAATTACTAAGTGAATTTTGCAACGTCACTGGATATAAGGTCAACATACAAATGTAAATTTGATCACTATCTACTACCAACAACTATGAAGAAAATAAAACTTTAAGAAAGATACAACTTCAAAAACATCAAACACCTAGAAATATATCTAATGAAAGTAGGTAAGACCTCTGCCTTGAAAACTATAAAACCTTATGGAAAGGAATGAAGAACTCAAAATAAATGAAGGGATTTACCATATTATGGAATGAAAGACTCAATGTTGTAAAGATGTTAATTAATCCTAAATTAAACTACAGATTCAATGCAACCTCTGTCAGAATTTCAGCAGGTTCTTGTGTAGACTAATGAGCTGAGTCTAAAATTTATACGGCAATGCCAAAAGCCAAAAATATCAAAAGTAATCTTGAAGAAAATCAAAGTTGGAAGAGACTTATACCACCAGATATGAAGACTTATTATAAAGCTATAGTAATTGTCCAGGCACGGTGGCTCACACCTGTAATCCCAGCACTTTGGGCGGCTGAGGGGGCGTGGATCTCGAGGTCAGGAGATTGAGACCATCCTGGCTAACATGGTGAAACCCTGTCTCTACTAAAAATACAAAAAAAATTAGCCGGGCATGGTGGTGGGCGCCTGTAGTTCCAGCTACTCAGGAGGCTGAGGCAGGAGAATGGCATGAACCCGGGAGGTGGAGCTTGCAGTGAGCCGAGATCGCACCACTGCACTCCAGTCTGCGCAACAGAGCAAGACTCTGTCTCCAAAGGAAAAAAAAAATTAAGCTATAGTAATTCAGACATCGAGGTTTTGGTGCAAGAATAGACAAACCGACCAGTGAAACATAATACAAGGTCCAGAAACAGACCTTTACCTATATATGATCATCTGATTGATGCCAAAGGCACCAATGCAGTATACTGAGGAAAGGATGATCTTTTTCAATAAATGCTGTTGAGTCAATTGAATATTCATATGGAAAAATGTTTATTGACTCCTACCTTATCCCATACAATAAAACAATTCCAGATGGACTACAGATCTAAATATGAAAGGTAAAACAAGGAAGATTTTAGAAACATAGGAGAACATCTTTGTGATAGTGGAGTACGCAAATATTTACTAAACAAGACACAAAGAATCTTGATCATAAAGAAAAAAATGGATAAACTGGACAATGTTAAAGTTAAGAATGTGTGTTTATCAAAAGACACCATTGAGGCCAGGTGCGGTGGCTCACGCCTGCAATCCCAGCACTTTGGGAGGCCGAGGTGGGCGGATCATGAGGTCAAGAGATCGAGACCAGCCTGGCCAACATGGTGAAACCTTGTCTCTACTAAAAATACAAAAATTAGGTGGGCATGGTGGCATGTTCCTGTAGTCCTAGCTATTTGGGAGGCTGAGGCAGGAAAATCACTTGAACCCAGGAGGCGGAGGTTGCAGTGAGCCGAGATCATGCCACTACATCTGTCAAAGGATTCATATCCAGAATATATAAAGAAAAGGACAGACAGTTTGATAGAAAAATGAATAAAACCCTGAACAGACATCTCATAAAAGTAACTATCCAAATGGCCAATAAATATAGGAAAAGGTGCTGAATGTCATTATTAATCACAGCAATATAAAACAAAATCAACACCACTACATGTATCTGAGAATGGCTAAAATGAAAAAAAAATCAAGTGTTGACAAGGCTGTGGAGAAACCAAAATTTTCATACACTGCTGGTAGGAATATAAGTTTATACACCTTGGCAGTATCTATTAAAGCCAAATGTAAACATGTTCTATGATCCTGCTACTCCATCCCTAGGTATACATCCAATAGAAATGTACGTATATGTTTACTAAAAGATGTCCACTAGATGTTCCTAGCAGCACTGTGTGTAATGGTTAAAACACTGAAACTCTAAATGTCCATAAACAATAAAATGGATTTATAAATTGTGGTATATTCAAGTGAGATACCATCCCACAATGAGAATGAGCAATCCACAACTATACCCAAAAATATGGATGCTTCCCACAAATATAATGTTGAGCGAAAAAATCCAGACACAAAAAATACTCTATGATTCCATTTATAGAGTATAAAACTGGCAAAATTATTCCACATCATTTGCAGTCAGGATAGTGGTTACTATTCAGACAGCAATGACTAGAAGGGAGAACATGGGGAGGGGAATTCTGGGTTGCTAGTAATATTCCGACACTTGATCAGGGAACTGAATACGTGGGCATTTTCAGTCTGTGAACATTCATTGAAAATTCACTTAGGATATGTGTACATTTCTATACATGTGTCATGTTTCAACAAAAAGTTTTTGAAAACCCTACTTGTTTCCAATATCTCACGAAAGGGAGATTTCACCAAAAAATACATATTTCTGGCTTCTGAAAACATGTGAAGATCTGTTCATAGTGGCTTACTTCTAAGAATCCTCTGGAGCTGAGCAGAGGCCGTACCCTTGAGATAGGGTATACACCATTCGCTACCCACTTTGCTCATTCATGTTCCCTGTCTAGCCTTTCTAGGCATCTGAGTTTGTGTCCCTGGGAATCGAAGCCTCTCTGTCTGTTGGTTCTTGTTTTTCTTTCGGAGACAGGGTCTCAGTCTGTTGGCCAGGCTGGAGTGCAGTGGCGCAATCTTGCACTGCAACCTCCGCCTCTCAGGTTCAGGCTATCTCCTGCCTCAGCCTCCTGAGCAGCTGGGATTACAGGCAGCTGCCACCACGCCTGGCTAATTTTTGTATTTTTAGTAGAGATGGGGTTTCACCATGTTAGCCAGGCTGGTCTTAAATTCCTGACCTTAAGTGATCCACCTATCTTGGCCTCCCAAAGTGCTGGGATTACAAGCATGAGCCGCTGCACCCGGTCTTGTCTATTGGTTCTTTAACTCAGTTCTGAGTCCCCAGGATAGAGCTCACTTTTTGCCCTGTGTACTCTTTCCTTCTGTCCTCTATTCTCCCCCTGCCCCAACTCTACACTCCCACTGTGGTTGTACCTCAGCACACTCTCCAGTCATCTTACCCTGAAGGCTTCTCTCCTGACCTGCGCTAGCACTCATCTGATTATGTCTATCCTCACATGCCCCAAGTCCTTCTCACTCTCCCCTTATCTGCTTCCTGATTTCATTAATCCATCCGCTCACTCACCGACCGACAAACATTTATTGACTACTTGTTATGTGCCAGACTGTTCAAGAGCAGGTGAAGAGCAGGTGAATGACGGGATAGTCTTTGTCCTGAGGTCCCTACCCTCTGATGAGAAGTAAAGACAGCCTGGGAGAGTCACTATACAGATAAAGCATTATAAGAATGTGGGAAGTCTGAGATTTATTCTGTCTGGGAGGAGAATGTGGGGGTTCTGGAGAGGCCTTGTGGAAGAGATGGTTTGTGAGCTGTATTTTTTAAAACTGGCAGCTATTTAGATTTGCAGAGAGTAAAGGAGACTCTTCCAGACAAAGACTGGGTTCTGGGTTCATGTGGGAAAGAGTATGTATTTCACTGTGCCTGTATGTCCTAAAAGGGAGCAGTGGGAAGTTAGGGTGGAAAATAAGCTGGAGTCAGACCATGGAGAGTCATGGAGGCCTCACTACAGACTTTACTGTATAGGTAGTGAAGACTATTAAAAGGTTTTTAAAAATAGAGTGCAGAGCCAGGAGTATAAAGAATCTTTCATCCATGTTCATCTCTCCTACTCTCTCTGAGTCGCTTAGTTTCCCCCTTAAGCTCAACCTATCATTACTGCCAATCTAATCTCCAAATACCCTTGGAAGTCTTGTCCTCCAATCAGCACAGCAGATCCTAGATACTGTGAATGATAGGCACCACCCACTGCTTTCTCTCTATTCGTTTCCTGATAAGCCAGGGGTCTCCTGAAAGTGTGACTGGATGAGCTGGCTTCTCTCAACCAGATTTCATCGTGACAAACAGGCAGGTGGAGGAAGGCGCAAAGCCACACAGTACATGTCTCTGCCCTGAGATGCACCTCACAGGTGGTCCCATGGCCTGCCACTCCCTTGGGGATCTCCTGATGAACCCTAAGCAGCCTGAGACCAAAGCCCAGTCCTGGCCCCATGTAGGCCCCACCTTTCTCTTTGCCACTCAGGCCTTTTTTTCTTCACCGAGTGTATTTTCTTGGTCCACCTCAGCAGGACATTGCCTCCTTTAGATCAGTCCCACTACAACTGCTTCACAGTTGAACAGCCATTTCCAATGTGCCAAGTACAGTCATGCACTGCATAAAGATGTTTCAGTCAATGATAGACTACATATACAATGGTGGACCCACAAGACTATAATAGAGCTGAAAAATTGCTATTGCCTAATGACATCATAGCCATTGTAATGTAGTGTGACACATTACTCACGTGTTTGTGGTAATCATGGTAAAAAACAAAACTACTGCACAGCCAGTTGTACAGTTGTATAAAAGTATAGCACATATAATTATTATGTATAGTGCATAATATTTGATATGATAATAAATGACTTTGTGACTGGTTTATGTATTTATGATACTATAGTTTTCATCATTATTTTAGAATTTACTCCTTTTACTTATTAAAATTTAACAGCCTCAGGCAGATCCTCCAGGAGGTATTCCAGAAGAAAGCATTGGTATAGGAAGTGAGAGCTCCAGGCCATGGAACTAGACTTTCCAGGGGGACAAGATGTGGAGGTGCAAGAAAGTGATACTGGTTTTTTTTTTTGTTCTTTTTTTTGTTTTTTTGACACAGAGTCTTGCTCTGTCACCCACACTGGAGTGCAGTGGCATGATCTCGGCTCACTGCAACATCTGCCTCCAGGGTTCAAGCAATCCTCCTGCCTCAGTCTCCCGAGTAGGAAACTGATGATCTTGTCCCCTTGTAGGCCCAGGCCAACGTGTGTGTTTCTGTCTTAGTTTTTAACAATAAACTTCAAAAGGTAAAAAAATTAAAAAGTAAAAAACAGAACAATCTTAAAGACTAAGGATATAAAGAAAATTTTGTACAACTGTTAGGCTAAATATTATTATACAAGCATCAACAAGTTTTAAAAAATTAAAAAGTTTATAAAGTAAAACAGTTACAGTAAGCTAAGGCTAATTTATTATTAAAGAAAGAAAAACTTTGGCCAGGTGCAGTGGCTCATGCCTATAATCTCAGCACTTTGGGAGGCCAAGGCAGGCAGATCACCTGAGGTCAGGAGTTCGAGACCAGCCTGGCCAACATGGTGAAACCCCGTCTCTACTAAAAATAAAAAAATTAGCTGGGTGTGGTGGCGGGCGCCTGCAATTCCAGCTACTTACGAGGTTGAGGCACGAGAATCACTTGAACCCAGGAGGCGGAGTTTGCAGCGAGCTGAGATCGTGCCACTGCACTGTAGCCTGGGCGATAGAGCTAAACTCAGTCTCAAAAACAAACAAACAAACAAACAAAAAACCCAACAACAAAGAAAAACTTTTAAATAACTTTAGTGTAGTGTAAGTATACAGTGTTTATAAATTCAGTAGTGTATAGTAATGTCTTAGTCCATCTCATTCACTCAACACTCATTTATTGACTCATCCAGAGCAGTTGCCAGTCCTGCAAGCTCCATTCATGGTAACTGCTCTATACAGGTGTACCATTTTTTAATCTTTTATACCATATTTTCCCGTACCTTTTCTATGTTTTGATATCTGGATACACAAATACTTACCATTACATGACAGTTGCCTACAGTATTTAATATGGTCCCATGCTGTACAGGTTTGTAGCCTAGGAGCAATAGGTTATATTACATAGCCTAGACATGTGGTAGGCTATCCCTTATAGGTTTGCATAAATACACACTATGATGTTCACACAAACAATGCAATTGCTAACAATGCATTTCTTAGAATATATTCTTAATGTTGAGTGATACATGACTCTACTCAATCCTGTTGGATCCTCACAGACAGCCTCTGAGAGCATGGAAAGGCAGAGATCAGGTCTTCTGACTTAAAATCTGCTGGTTGGCCGGGCACGGTGGCTCATGCCTGTAATCCCAGCACTTTGGGAGGCTGAGGCGGGCGGATCACAAGGTCAGGAGATCGAGACCATCCTGGCTAACAAGGTGAAACCCCATCTGTACTAAAAATACAAAAATTAGCCGGGCGTGGTGGTGGGCGCCTGTAGTCCCAGCTACTCGGGAGGCTGAGGCAGGAGAAGGGCGTGAACCCGGGAGACAGAACTTGCAGTGAGCCGAGATTGCACCACTGCACTCCAGCCTGGCGAACAGAGTGAGACTCTGTCTCAAAAAAAAAAAAAAAAAAAAAATCTGCTGGTCTACTCTTTTTATACAATAGATATTCAAAAATATTTGTAGGATAAACAAATGATTCTATGTACAAATTTCTCTTGAGGATTAGTTACTTTTTTATTCTTTTTTTATTTGGATGGGTTGATTTTTTTATTTGGATGATTTTACAAGAGGTTTGATATAGCAAATCTGATGTTAGGATAATCTTCCTTGAGCCAGGTGTCACACAAATGGTTCCTGGGGCTCTGGCTTAAAAAACAAACAAACAAACAAACCCAAAAAATCTTTTCAAAGATATATGTGTTCCTCAAAAGGTTACACACAGAGTTACCATATGACCTAGCCGTTTCACTCTTAGATATATACCCAAGATGAATGAAAACATGTATACACACAAAAACTTGTACACAAATGTTCATAATAGCTAAAAAGTGGACATAATTCAAATGTCCATTAACTGATGGGTGGATAAATAAAACATGGTATATCCATGTAGTGGAACATTATTCTATAATAAAAAAATGAAGTATAAGCACACATTGCAACATGGATGAACCTTGAAGACATTATGCTAAGTCAAAGAACCTAGTTACAAAAGACCATATCTTGTATGATTTAATACATAAGAAATGTCCAGAATAGGTAATTCTATAGAGACAGAAATTGTATTAGTGATTACTTAGGGCTGGGAGGGTTGGGGGCGTACCGGTAGTGAGTGCTCATAATTATGAGGTTTCTTCTTGGGTAATGAAAATGTACAAAAAGTGATTATTGTACAATTCTGTAACTATGCTAAACACCATTGCATTGTATCCTTTAAATGGGTAAATTGTAGCTCATGTAAGTTATATGTCAAATAAAGCCATTATAAAAAAGATGCATGTTCCTTAAGCAACACTTAGAAAATAAAAAAATATACAAAGAAGAAACAACTTACCCATTATTTTACTACTCAGAGATAACCACACTTGACATTTTTGCTATACTTTCTTCTTATTTTTTTTTCTGTATATCCACATGCACATGTGTGTGTGGCTGCACAAACATACACAACTAGGGTCATTTTCAATATTCAAGATCGTAGTCTGCTTGTTTGGCTTAGTGTGAATCATAGCACTTTCCACAAATGTTATAAGCAGGGGTCCTGGGGTCAGACAGGATTCCTGGGTAGGAACCTTGCTTCTGCCCCTGGCATACTACGAGGGCTGGAGAAACTCTTTAATCTTTCTAACCTCCAGTTTCTGTAACTGTAAAATGGAAATGATGTCACCTACTTTCCATGCCTGTCAAGAAGATGAAACGCAAAGTTCAATAAGTGCTATTTTCCTTTGTCCCTCCCAGCCCTCCTCCCTTTAGTGAGAGCTGGTTTGTTTCCCTCAGTTGCAAGGCAGACTGCTCTTACCAGTAGCCAGCCACAATGTACTAAAACCTAGCTAGTGCTGTTGTCCCCACTCTCTGCCTTTGCTTAAATGAAAGTGTTACCTCTTTCCCAGGAGTATGAAGCACAGAGGTTGAGAGCGTAGGCTCTAGATCCAAACCTTCTGGGCCAAATTCTGTCTTTGCCATTAACTTGAGCAAGTTCCTTTACTCTCTGTGACTCATTTTCCTCATCTTTAAATATGTGTAATAGTAGTACTAAATTTATAGGCATTTTTTTGAGGATGAAGTGTGGTAGTATTTGCAGAGAACATGGCACATTGTTAACTATTGTTGCAATTTCTTTATGTAGTATTCTATGTTCTTCTTTCAAATTTTTAGTTGTCCAGTAATTTGTTAAGTTCCAAACTTACAGTATTTCTTGTATACAATCTGAAGCAGAATTTTGTGGCTGCAAACTCATAATGGTTACTCATCCATATCCACTAGTTCACAGCACAAAGCAATTTTTGTTTGGCAAATCGAGTAGTTAAAAATATTGTTTCCATTAATTTTACTACCTACGTACCTCCTGGAGGCAGGGCAAGGCAGTTTAGTTAAACTAAACCAAACAAACATTTTAGGGGGTTTATAAATGAGTACTTATTTGTAGCTGTTCTAAATCATCTCAGCCAGATGGCCATGTTTTAAATATTTCCAAGGAAGAAGATTTTGCAAGCTTTCTCAATAACCTGTCTTAATGTTTCCAACCATCATTGAAAGTTCTTCTGAAAATCTAATTCTGGGGTGACTCTACAATTTATCATCCAAACCAGGATGGGACAAAATCCAAACTGGGACAATTCTGGACAAACTAGGACACACAGACATCATCCTGTATAGTCATTTGTCCTGTTCTGAGTGTTGTCCACATTATATTACTTGGTACTTAGCAGAAAAGAACAACTGGTTCCCATGGTCTACATAACAACCTTATATTCTTAAGCTTTTACTTTTTTGTCAGTTTGTGGAATGAGGGAAAAAGAAACAGAAACCCAAGCAGACAGACAAAACTTGAAGAATTTTTTTTTTTTAATTTTACTTTAAGTTCCAGGATACATGCGCAGAACATGCAGGTTTGCTACATAGGTATACATGTGCCATGGTGGTTTGCTGTACCTATCAACCCGTCATCTAGGTTTTAAGCCCCACATGCATTAGCTATTTGTCCTAATGCTCTCACTCCCCTTGTCCCCCACCCCCTGACAGGGCCCGGAGTGTGTTTGTTCCCCTCCCTGTGTCCATGTGTTCTCATTGTCCGACTCCCACTTATGAATGAGAACATGCGGTGTTTGGTTTTCTGCTCCTGGGTTAGTTTGCTGAGGATGATGGCTTCCAGCTTCATCCATGTCCTTGCAAAGGACATGATCTCATTCTTTTTTATGGTTGCACAATATTCCATGGTGCATATGTACCACATTTTCTTTATCCAGTCTATCTTTGGTGGGCATTTGGGTTGATGCCATGTCTTTGTTATTGTAACTAACGCTGCAGTAAACATATGTGTGCATGCGTCTTTATAGTAGAATGATTTATATTCCTTTGGGTATACACCCAGTAATGGGATTGCTGGGTCAAATGGTTTCTGGTTCTAGAAAAACTTGGAAGAATTTATTCCTTGTCCTTGATGATGATACTTACAGAACACTTAATAGGTATACTAGGTGAGTGTCTTAAAGTATTGTTTTATTAAATCTTCATAAAAACCTGTATCATCATCATCATCATCATTATTGTTGTTTTGCCGATGAATAAATGGGTCACCAAGAGGTAGAGAGAGAGAGAGAGCATATCAGCCAAGGCTCTACAGCCAGGATCTTCCCAAAGAAGAAGTCCAGAGGCTGTGTTCTTAGCCAACATGCTCCCCTCCAGGCCTCCTGCAAGATCCTGGCAAGACAAGACCTTTTGCTGCAGTGCCCAGCCCAGACTGGCTATCCCTACAATACTGTGTTACAATAAAAATACTTCAGAACACTTCAAATGTGTGAAATACACATTCTCTTCTTGAATCCTCACAACCCTGTGAGGCGGTTAGTGAAGGTTATCATTCTTCTTATTTAATACATAAAGAAAATTGAGGCTCAGGAAGGAAACGTAAGCTATATAGAGAAAAAGTGGCATAGCTAGGATGATGACCTAGGACTTGGCTCTGACTGCTCTTTTCACAAACTGCTAATGACTTAACATGTGATCTTCTTCGTGGGTATTTCCATTTTAACTGAGTTGTTTTGGAAAGGCAAAGCCTACCACAAGGGATGATCTTTGAACAGGGGGATTTTGGCCACCATTGCACATGCACGGGAGGCATTTGGGGATGGAGAACCTTTCTAGTGGCCTTCAAGCTACACCTTTTATGTAAGTTCCTTACCTGTTCTCTAGAAGGCCACGCTAAAGACCTAGGGACACAGAAGCAACCATGGCTTTTTAAAAGTCAAATTTATTTTCATAGCACGTAGATTTTCTGCCCATTTTCTCCAAGACTTTGTGCGAAGGCAGCACAACATCAGGCCATCAGTAACCTGCCCATGTGCCCAGGGAAGGTGTGAGACAGCATGAGCTGGAGAGCTGGGGAAAACTTGCCCCTGAACACAATGTGCTTATGTTTGAGAACTGGGTTCATTTCTCCACTTCCTAAGGTGGGACACAGAAGGGTTTGAGTTAGAGGCTCTCCTATGGAAGGGGAGGTGACTTAGTTCCTGTCACTCCAGATGGAAGAGTAATAATGAAAAGAAAAATGGGTGAGAATTATAGAAGGTCAAATTCTTCTCAATAAAAGATATTTTTCCCCTCATTACCATAATCTTTTACTAGACTTAGCTGCCCAAGGAAGTAGTGAGTTCTACATGGCTAACTGTACTCATACACTCGTAGATGACTTGCTTCTCAGGAAGGGGATAAGGTAGTCTGCAGTGCACAGATATCTCTTGGGGAGCTTGTGAAATGCAGATTCCTAAGTCATATCCCAGAAATTATGATTCCCAGGAAGCTGCATTTTTTATAAGCTTCCCCACCGACTCTGACACAGGTAGCCCAAGCAACACAGTGGTAAAGGGATTCCTACTGTAGTGTGAGACAGGATGAGGTGTAAGGCAGGGATGAAGGAAGAGAGAGAAGGGCTCACATACATCCCTTCTGAGCTGAACCAGATGGTTGGGTGAACTTTACTCTTTTAGTCTCTCTAATATTAATCTTCTTTTTGGATGTTTATTCCTTGGTTTCCTGACAGAGAATGCTTGAGTGACATATGAGGTGAGAGATTTGGGGTGTAATAATACCATGTCATGGAAACACTCATAAAGCCATGACCCCATGGCATATGAATTCTATGTGGGGTTTGCACAGGTATTAAATGTTTTGTGGTTGGCTTTTGGAAGCCTGCTCTATCCTGTCACCGGGATTTCTAAGCTGGCCTGGAGGGAAGCAGGCCTGCAGCTTCCTGGTGTTTGGAGCAGATGGGAAAAGAGTCTGAAATATTCCTTGTCATCACCTCCAGCTGACAGACCACAGGCAAAGGAGGCAACAGGGAAAAGTCAGACCAGCTGATACGGGAGAAAAGAGGAATCAATGGTGATGCCTTGTGAATATTTCCTTCGTGTTTCTCTACAAATGGATGGTGTGTGTGTGTGTGTGTGTGTGTATACATGTAAGTGTACCAAATTGTGTAGCACTTGCCTCTGACTGGAGACAGTAATAAATCAGGGGTTACAAAACCACCACTAGCTACCTCCTGCAGGCCCTGTCAAAGAAACAGGCCTTTGCGAACACAGCTGAGCCAGCAGGATCCCCAGTACTGTGGCCCCACCTCATGGGATAAAAATCACACATCTGGGATCAAGCATGCCAGATGTGCAAAGGGCTAACATGGAAAAGACACTGCTGGGAAGACCACATAGCTCTCAAAAACATTAGTGCAGGGTTCAATGGGTTTTGTAACCTTAGTCACCATAATGCTTTTATCAGACTTAGGTAGCAGACTTTCTACTGTGCCCTGATTCTTTGCCTCAGCATGTCAAGAAGGATGCAGAAGAACTAAACTCTTTAGAAGAAATCCTGTTGACCCTGCTGAGACAGTGACAGTAAAGCTCCAGAAGCAAAATGAGTCCTGGGTGAAGTCCTTAGTTTAAAATCAATTTAAGTGTATGATCCCGAGCAAGTTACTTTAACTTCTATATAACTTGCAATTGTTAATCTATAAAAATGGGAAATGGCCATATCTACTTCATAGGTCTGTTGTGGGGATTCAGTGAGATGGCACCAAGAAAGTCCCTAGGTCAGGGACTGGCACATTTCAGGAGCCATGGCTGAAGGTGGGAATGAATACTGCTCTAGGAGGGATGGGTAGACAAAGGGAGATAACTTCCTGTTGGCCAAGCCCCAGAAGTCTGTGGGCATAGAGCAGTCTCTAGATTGTCCTTTAAGGTTCTCAGGTTACTGGGGCTTCTGGAAGAAGTGTGGCCTTGTTATCTTCTTTGAAACCCTGGTTGACTTCTCTTTCTCTCTAGGTCCAACAACTCCTTTCTCTGCCTTGAGGTTCTCTTATACATCTTTCCTTTCCGGGCTTCAGGTTCTTTCCCCTCAACCCCACCCTGGCAGCCTAGCCACACCAGGATGTTTTTCCTTAGAGCAGCAGTGACATGGGACTTGAAGATTAATGAGTCACTCAAGGTTTCCACCCAGCTAAGGAAGACAGAGAATTCCTAATTCCTGGCAATCTACTCATTGCTTTTGTGAGTTTTAAATTAAAAATAGGTAAGACTACTGCTAACGGGTTTGGGGTTTTTTTGGTGTGATGAAATGTCCTAAAATTAGATAGTGGAGATAGTTGTATAACTCTGTGAATATACTAAAAACCATTGAATCATACACTTTAAAAGTGTAAATTTTATGGTTTGTGTTATATCTCAATAAAGTTGTTATTTTAAAAAGTCTGATTTTTTTTTTTTTTGAAATGGAGTTTTTTACTTGTCGCCCAGGCTGGAGTGCAATGGCTCGATCTCAGGTCACTGCAATCTCCACCTCCTGGGTTCAAGCGATTCTCCAGCCTCAGCCTCCTGAGTAGCTGGGATTACAGGCACCCGCCACCACGCCCAGCTAATTTTTTTGTATTTTGAGATGGGGTTTCACCATGTTGGTCAGGCTGGTCTTGGACTCCTGACCTCAGGTGATCCACCCACCTTGGCCCCCCAAAGTGCTGGGATTACAGACGTGAGCCACTGCGCCTGGCCAGAAGTCTGATTATTTAGTTAGCTTTACATTCTTCTATCCTTCTCTACTTTTAATTAAAATGTAAAATAAACTTAATGATACATTTAAATTACAAATTTAAAATATAAATTTAACAAAAATATAGAGTTATACCATATAGCATTTTGAATCAAGATGATATACCACCTCTATCCCTCCAAATCCATATTCATTCTCATTCTCATTCTCTCTCCTCCTCAAGTACTACTGTACCTGTCAAAATTCAATTTATCCTTCTAGATTTATCCCATGAAGCCTTTCTTGGTCTCTACCAAGAAGTATCTTTCTAATCACTTTTCAAATCTGTGCTAAGTTATTCCTATCTGTTTTGCACGGGACTAGGCCCAGGGATGCACAGATGAGCAGGGCTAAAGGAAGATATTAACAATACCACTCCTAGGATCTCCTCTACCCAGAAGTCTCTTTTTTACCTCTTCCAGGATAGCTCCCCAGTCTCCATTTCAGACCAGGACTGATGCCCAGGCAACCTTCCTGCCTCCTGGGTCCTCCAACTCCCAAACAACTGCCACAAATTAAACTTCTTCATATCCATTTTCATTTACTTTAGTCTCCTAATTAAGAACTCCAATGACTCCAATTACACACACAATCCAACTAAGTGTTAAGAGGTCTTCTCTGAGACAGCTGTTTTGTATCTCACTGGCATCTCTGGCCACCTCACAACATTTCCACTCTATTCTGGCCAGCTGGTTTATGGGTCTCTGCAAAGGTTCCTCCTGGCAGGTGGAATCCTAGCCCCAAGCTGCTCCTTCCTTGCCCCTCACCTCTTTCCAAGGCCAGCTCTGAACATTCCTTCTCCTTGAAGGCAGTCTTCCCCTAAGGAGCCTTGTTTCATTTACCTGCTGTCTCTGTGCTCAGCTTGCTGTCTGTTGTTTGCCCTTCCTCCTGCTATCTGCATGGCACGGCTCCTGTTGCTTTATGCCTTCATGGTACAGCACAATGCTCTGTACCCAGTAGGTACTCAAATGAAAGCTGTCTTCTCTTCTTTAAGACAAACCCTCTGCCTGCTTCAGAACTTTCCCTCTGGACTAAGAGGAAGTGTTTTTGTGGATTTTTTTTTTGGTCTTGTTTTTAAAATAAGAGGCTGATAATTAATTAATTAGCTCTGAATTGCCTATATGCTAGGCACTGAGGGGACTGTATTTTTTCCCTTTTTTTGACCTGGGCATTAGAATAAAAAAACAGCAGTTAGTAATGACTTGGTAGTTGGATACATTGCTTTGTCTGCTCAGACCCCATCTACCAATTCCTTTAGCTTTTTCACATAAAATAGACCCACCAGATGAGACCACAGAAGCAGCCATTTTCTACAAATGAGACCCTGGCACCACAGATAAAGGGTCTAGGGGTGGACAACCAACCTGGATAGGTCAACTGCAGTCCCATTATAACACGCACCTCATGTCTTCTGGCTCTAAGTTTGGGGTTGAAATGATTTATCCTGTCCAATTAAAAAAATACGATTCTTTCTCAGATTGTTTTCAACCACGTAGTGTTAGTTATTGCATGTTTAAAGTTCGTAGTGCTGCACAGTGTAGAAACTCAAGTGTATAAATCTAATGACATATGCTTGTTGTGGTCTCGCTGAGGGCAGTGGGACTGTACAACTTTCTTTTTAAAATATAATTCAAGCAAATAAAGGCATTAAGTTGTACTAGTGCAATCGAAGATTTATTATCTAAACTTTGAACAGTCAGGAAATTCCAGAGTTGGATTCCAGGAGAAATATTTCTAGAAAAGAAAGTAGAAAGACCTAATGTATGTCAGTGCTTGGCCCATTTGCTGCCTGGTACAATAATCCTGTGGATTAAGCATGGGGACCTGCCAGGCATGTAGCTCATGCCTGTAATCTCAGCACTTTGGGAGGCCAAGGCAGGAGTATCGCTTGAGGTCAGGAGTTTAAGACCAGCCTGGGCAACACAGTGAGATTCTATCTTTACTACTACTACTACTACTAAAACAAAATTTAAAAAATCATGGGGGATCATACTGCACAGACTAACCCTGAACCTTGCAAAAGGAGACCAATGTGTAATGAATGATCGTTGAATGGGCTTCAAAGGGGTAAAATAATTTTACATTTTAAAAAAGCATTTATCTTGATGTAATTGGCCAACAAAATTACATTTTCTCTGTTACAAAAGGAGAAACTGAGGAACAAAGAGGAAGTAACTAACTTGAGTCTCCTAACATATCCATAGTAGACCTAGAACTGTATTCAATATTTACTTACTCCAGATACTGGACTCCAATTTCAAAATTACAACATTCATGGACTACTGATGTATTTCATGAGATTAAGAAATTGTGAGCAGAAATGAAGGCATTCAAAGGTGCCTTCGAGACAAAGTTCCATAAAAATATCACACAAAATAACTGCTAGGCGAGGGAGGGTCTTTCAGCCCAGCCTGATTCATTTCAGGCACTGGCAGTTAAGCCAAGCTTATTTTCATAGCTGTGAGTCTCACTCAGATTTCTATCTATCTATTCTGGATCATGAGTCCTTGGAGTTCTAATTCAGAGCAAGAGAATTCCTTTTCTTTTTTTTTTTTTTTTGAGACGGAGTCTCGTTCTGTTGCCCAGGCGGGAGTGCAGTGGCGTGATCTTGGCTCACTGCAACCTCCCCGCCTCCTGGGTTCAAGTGATTCTCCTGCCTCAGCCTCCCAAGTAGCTGGGATTACAGGTGCCCACCACCACGCCCAGCTACTTTTTGTATTTTTAGTAGAGATGAGGTTTCACTATGTTGGCCAGGCTGGTCTCGAACTCCTGACCTCAGGTGATCTGCCCACCTCAGCTCCCAAAGTGCTGGGATTACAGGCGTGAGCCACTGTGCCTGGCCTTTTCTTTTCTTACCTGGTTTTATTTCTAATTTCAAAACAAAACTTCTTTCTAAATATAGTATATATTTTCCATTAAGGAGAGATACTATAATTGATGATTTATTTATTCCCTGGGGATAGCATCTGCATGTTCCAGAGGTCAGTTTTATTTGTTTCTGTGAACATATAACCATATCTCAATGTGGATCTTTCTGCTTTGGCTGCTTGCTCTAATTTTCTCTCCTTCCTGACCTGATCCACACACGCTCATGTGCATTACGGATGCCTGGGGTTGGATTTCTTCCTTCTCAAGGTATTTCGTGAACTCTTATACCTGTCATTTGCATCCTGCAAACTGCATCCTCCCATCTCTCCACTTTTCTGCTTTCTCGAGAGTGAACTCACCTTCCATGACTAATGCAATCCATAAGCAGCCTTCATGCTGATTCTACAGATTTTAATTTCCTAACATTTCCCTTTAGACTTTTCCTAACATCCTCTTTTTAAAAAGAAAATCCCTTCTTGGAGTTAGTCACAGGCTCCACATGCCTCCTGTGTGAAATCCCCCCAACAAGACTCAGATGCCTCAGGTGGTACGTGGCCACGAACAGGCAAGGCCTGCCCAGACTAAGTGAAGTGGAGGGTTCTAAGAGAGTATTTCTACTGACGTGTACTAGGAACTGACTGTGTGCCCAGCACCCTGCTAGGAGTGGTGGATGAGACAGGGATTAATCGACTATGGTTCCTGACCTCAAAGAGCTCTAAGGTCCTTGGCACAATATTCAAGACTAAAATACACAGATTACAGCATGGTGTAGCAGAAAGGGCACTAGATTTGGGGCAACAGATCTGAGTGATCTTGGGCCAGTTACTTAACTTTATTTTCCTCAATTGTAAAAGGAGATGATACCTATCTCATAGTGGCTCTTGTGAGGATTCACTAGTGCAAGTAGTATATACTAGGCATTCAATAAATGACATTTAATAATTTACTGTTATTATTCTTTTTAAATATAACAGCAGCATTTACTATTAGAACTCTAGAACCAGCCAAACAAAATCTGGAACTCACTTCTATTGTAGAAAAGCTTTCAGAGATGCCTTTAATATGTATTAGAAAGAATTTGTTCCAGGCTTATTGGTAAGCCTGACTCTTGAGGCTTGCATATAGAACATGTTTCTACTTCCCCAAAAAGGGCCTGATTTTACCATGAGGCAACTGAAGAGGGACTCTGTGGAGAGCCCACTCTGGGGAGTGTTGCTTGTTGCTCAGGCCCACAAGAATGAAGAGAACATTTGTTTTGTTGTCCCCCATTCTAAAAGCACAGGTGAAATGGGGTGAGAGCGTTTCCCGCTTGACTCCTGCTCTTAGGATGGAAAATGGAAACCAGCAGGAACTCAGCACTGCTCAGCTCCTATCTTTTTCACCTCGCACTTTTTCAAAAAGGCCATGGGTCACACAGGTCATGGCTCAAACCTAAAAAAGTCTTTATCTGCAAAGGAAACCAGGCTCATCACAGAATATGCTAGCTGTATAGATGAGGAGCAGAGGTTAAAAACCACGAGCACTATCAGGCAGTCCTTGAGATGGCCTCTAATTTAGTTAGTCCTAATGAAGCATACCTAATGAGAATACTACTGTATTTCTTTTTCTTATACAGCTGTATTGAGATATAATTCACATTCCATGTAATTCACCTATTAAAGTGTATAATTCAATGGCTTTTAGTATATTCACAGAGTTGTGCATCCATAACCACAATCAATTTTAGAATATTTTTTACCCCAAAAAGAAACCCTGCATCCCTCAGCTCTCATCCCCCAACCCCTTACCCCACCCCTCACGCCTAGGAAACTACTAATCTACTTTCCACCTCTACAGATTGGCATATTCTGGACATTTTGTATAAGTGGAATCATAACATATGGTCCTTTGTGACTGGCTTCTTTCACTTAATACTACTATATTTCTTAAAGACAGCAGTATCTTCAGTGTATGACAAAAGGAGAGTTGCTAAATAAAGTGCAGTCATACTGTGGATTACTGCAGCATTAAAAAACGTAGATCTACATAGCACATAAATATAAAATCTGGAAGAATATACATCAAAATGATAAAAGAAGAGAACCCCAGGGAGGGGGAGAGAGGAATAAGACTAGGAATAGAATGCAAAGAGGACTCTTCCTATTAATTTTTTTCAAGGATAACTTTTCATGCATTACTTCTGTAATTAAAAATTAATTCAAAAGAGAACAGTAGAAGTAAGAGAAAGAGAAGCAGGAGCTTTCCTTGGAAAGTCCAAATGGAATTGGGCAGGAAGTCCAAGCTTCCCTGATGCTGCTGAAGAATCTGGAACCACTCTGATCCCACAGACCCATCCAGTCTACCCAATATGCAGAAAAACTCCCTGGATAAGATGCAGCCCTGAAGCAAAGCCCAGGGAGCAGTGATTCCCTTTGTGCATTGGCATCGAGAAGAAGGTCTACTTCAACCACAGGACAACCTCAGTTGTCCTCATTTCCTACTAATTTAAAGGGAAGTAGGTAGGAAGACTGAGGACTCTGAACTGTGAGAGACACTGTTAAGCTCTAGGGAAATATAAGGAGGGCAGGAACTACACTATCCAGGACCCTGTGTATCTGTACATACATACTGAGATGGAAATCCAGCTCCTAGGACATTGGGAACTGTCTTGACCTCAGTGGTCTCCACAGATTTAGTGGAGTGGATCTTGAAACAAAAGGGGGAAAGGGGGACATTTTGTCCTTTTTCTTTTCTTTTTTATTTTTACCATTTCCTGGGAAAGCAGGGAAGAGGAAAGCTGGATAGGCTGATCCCACAACCAACCACTGTAGGGAAAGAGCCCTCAGCAAACAGTCTGAGCCACCTTTAAAAGGAAAAGGCGTCATATAGGCTCCTCAGTTTAAGCAACCAATTATGGATCATGAGAAGAATTTACCTTCATTTTCAATAGACTCTGAGATGCTAAAGACCTAGGCATAACTGAATTTGCTTGTGATGACTTTAGAAAGAATATCTGCTATCTACACATCTAGGATTGGAATACAGGTACCCATTCTCAGGGTACCCATTTTCCACACAGCACCACATGGCCGTGATGATAAATGATGGCTCTTAGGTGGAAGACAGCCAAGTTGGAATGTCACAAAAAACAGAGATAAGATAGAACTCATCAATTCTAACAGACATTTAAACAGGTAAAGTCACTTGCCTGAAGTCAAACGGTGAATTTGTAGTAGCAACAGTCATAGTAATAGTGATAACATAGTTAATATTTATTAAGTGCTTACTATGTGCCAAGCACTATGCTAAGCATTTCATATTTATTATTTCAATTAATCCTCACAACAGCCTTATAATGTAGATGCTATCATGACCTTCATTTTATGAATAAAAAAATAAAGGCTCAGAGAGATGAGGTAATTTGCTTGTGGTCACACAGCTAGCTGGGGGCTAGAACAAAACATCATGTCTTCTGATTCCACTGCAATGTTATTATCATGCCATGGTGCAGATTCTTGACTTTCTTTCCCTAGTCTCCAACAACCACCACCATTTTTAATTCCCCAGAGTTTCTAATTTGAAATCAGACTACTAAACTTTTTCTTGTCATTTTTAACTGTATGTTTGAGTTAAATTCACCTGATAAAGACAAGAGGTTATATTAGTAAATAATTACCTTGTAGAATTTCACTCATCTTGTGTGCACCTCCACTTAGTATTTTCATAAGCTGATACTTATAATTTAGGTGTTTATTGTCACTATTTAGCTAAAAATTGAAATTGATTCTTTTGTTTCTGAGTAGAATGAAGCCCCTGTTTCACTCTTTACTGAAGAAATATATGTAAAGGTAAAAAATGAATTCCGAAATAATTGGAATAATAATATATTAAGCTACAAAGTGAACAACTTATGATATCACGGGTAAAACCTAGAGTAGGTTAAAATAATGAAAGGTGTCATGGAAGAGCACAAATCACCAGGGAAACAATAAAAATTCTGGCATATGAGAAGGCGGATTACATTTTCCAAAGGGAATCCTGTAGGCTGGGGAGGGGAGGGGTGAATCTTTGAGGCCACTCACCCACAGAATGAAGACAACTGAAGACCACAGAGAAATAAAAAGCGACTCAATACAGTTTAATATCTTTTTTTGGAAGAAACAGAAAATGTTGAACTCATCTGCTTTTTCAATTATGAACAGGAAACATAAAACTATACTCAATAATATACCAAAAACTGTAATAAAAACTACCTCGGGCCCATGTTACAGCCAGCAAAAGAGGACAAGGAGAAGCAGAGAGGGAGGTGGGGGACAGAGGAGAGAAGAGGAAGCTCTGCGGGGTCCCAGGCACCTCCACATCTCTCACTGTCAGACCCCCTGTGTTTCACAGAGGGCCCTCCTCAGGTCTACCTCATTTTTTGTTTCCTTGCCTCCTAAACTTCTCCAGCACACCCTTTGCTTCTGCTTTCTCCCCTCCTCCATCCTGTCCTGCCCCTCCGCCCCCAACACAGTCTGAGAAAACAGATCTCCAGGACCCCTGCTCTAATCTCAGCCCTTGTTCTCTATAGTCTATTGGATTTTCAATTGCTAATTAGCCCTCCTTTTTTTATTGTTTTTCTTTAAATTACCACAGTAATATATTCACATGGTTAAAAAAAATGCCAAAAAGCTTATCATGGTGAGTGCAGCTTCTCCCATCAAATATACCACTATTTCTGAATTTCTGGTACGAACGATGAGGATTTAGCTCTTGAAAAACCCCTACGTTCTATTCTCTCCTTCCTTCTCCTGATGAAGTTATATTCTCACACTTTCTTCTGTTCACTTCTGCAACTCCAAACAACATATTTAAACCTATAATTCTTTTGGTAGCAACAATACATAGTTATCCATGATACCCACCGAGAATGGAAACCATCCACAGGCAAGCAGCTTGCTGATTACTTTAACTTGTCTTTATTTATTCTATTGTCTTTATCAATATGATTTTACTGTCTCAGGAAGCTCTTGCCCAGGAAGATACAACTTGAAAATATGTTTATTGTTTGTTTCAGCAATTTCCTGAAATCCCACTTAAATAAACATCAGATTGCACAAATTTTCAATAGATAGTATCAAATGACTGTTTACTCTCTAAGACTCATCCTGTGTAAACTAAGCTACAAAGTGAATAACCCTCACCCAATGTTATTGCTCTGTGGTATTCACTAGTCCTATATTATTATATTATGATATTACCTAGCCCTAATCAAGCCCCACAATGAAAGATTCACTTCAAACCAGATCTCACAAAAGTCCTCATAAATATCCCATTTTGTCCTTGCTCTTCTGAGGTGCTATTAAAACTTTGGAGAGGTATTTTTCTCTCTCTTACCACAGTAAGCAATAAACTCAGTTTTGCCTTCTCATCAGGTTAGTTTGGTGGTACTTTGGAGCCCTCATTCCACAATTTTGGCAGTGCCACTGAAATTCATTTGGGACCTGCTCACTATCACTACCTAAGACTCAACTCTAAAACAGTGCTCCCCTGAGCCCTGTTGCCTCCTGCTGGGATCTCACTGACATTGACAATAAAGTTTATAAGTCCTGCATTGGACTTGGCTCTGATTTCTTTTTCATTTCATTTATTTGAGCTCTCCAAATGCTGAGTTTATTTTGCATCCTAGGGTTAAGAAACCTTTTCAGGAATTCTTTCATTATTTGATAAGATTGGGAAAACTTTTATCCTTGATGGAAATCTGCCTTATTATTAACCCTGCTATTTGTTTCTATCTGTCCTTGACATTTCTTCTTGTACATCTTTAAAGAAAAGTTTGAAGGGAAAGGATAAAGACTCAGAGTCTGCTTCTCAAGCTGGCCCCAAGGACTAAGAAATTCAGAAGGTTTCTTCTTGTCCAGCATCCTTTGGAAAAACTATGCTTTGGGTCAGTTTTCAAAACCTCCTAAGAATTTTTTTCACTGTTGCTGTTTTGTCTCTGAGACTCTGATTCTTGATGAGATCTCCTCTCTAAACCTTCTGTCCCATGGGAACTGAAAATTCATCAAATTTTCCATTGGAGATGGCCCAGTCTTTTGGATGGGGACCCAAGTCATGAGGTGCACAGCGACACTTTCAACCAACTATTTCCACACTCTCATGGGTTTGTCTCAGTCTAAATCGAATGCTTCAATCTTCTGGGCCACACTCCTGCTTTTTACATGTTCTTAAATAAAATCCAAATTTGTGAACTTCCTTTCTAAATGGCACAATTTCATCAAGTATAATTTAGAATGACAGAATTTTTAATAGGAACAAAAATGTTCACTTGAGAAACACTTCAGAATAAAAAACAAAGTAAATATCAAATAGTCTGCATTTTTGATTAGTATAAACAAGCATACAAAAGAAATTAAAATTATAAAATTACTTCTTTAACAGATTCCTTGGCCAAAGCAAAGGAAAAATTGTGAAACACTTAAAATTTTTTTCCTTTAGATACCCCCTACAACTCACAACTTGAGACACAAACCGCCTTCATCTTCCTATTCCTCTTCCCTCATCCTATGCTCCTCCATTTCCCTCTGCTTCTCTTTCTTCTTCAGATGCATTCCCCTCCTCTCCTGGCTAGCCAGAAACTCTCAAAGCTCAGTTACCCCTTAAAATTAAACCCCTTTCAGAACAGGAAAACCCCTGGCTTTTAATTCCTTGTCTCAATCTGAGCTGAGAGCCATTGAAAAAAGACTTTCCAAAGCCTAGATAAGATATTGTGAAATTTACACAGGAATTTAAAATAGTTTTAATTGTATATAATGTGGGGCTCCCAGATCTATACCAATTAGCTTATATGTCAGTGGGAATCTCAGCTGCAAAAAATTGGATGGAGAACGAAGAATGGCAAGACCCGGAGAATGACTTAAAAGACCCAGAATTGCATCAGCAGCTCTGATGCAGTCCCATAAGTAAAGAAGGATATGTCTATTTGAGACTTGAAGGATCAGCTCTTCAACACTACTGGACAGCATTCAGGGGCAGATCCTGAAGCAGAGCTGATCCCAGTTTCTCTTCACTTTTTGTGAATAGCCTAGAAATAGAGGATTTAATATGCAAGCAAAATCTAGAATGGGAAACAGTCCTATGGCCAGACCTCCACCACCTCACTGAAGATTTAAAGAGTCTTAGAACAAAAACAGAGTAAGACTTGCCAAGGTAGTGCTCTCCATTACTGTGGTAAGCAAGTCACTCAGCTTTGCCTGATCGCCAGGTTATTTTGCTGATGTTTTCAGGGAGCCGGCAGGCACTCAACTCCACTTTGTAAGAGGAGGTCATTAGTTCTTCCATCTTTCCCTCCACCACTTCTCCCCCCTTCCACTTCCTAATTCTGTCAGCTGTGCTTTCCTTTTATAGCTTTCCAAGGCTGATAATATTTGTAATCTATTCTTTAACCAAGGCTATCGGAAGATGTAGTCTAAGTGTTGAAAACCACCTATCAGCTTTTAGTTTACTCATATTTGAATCATGACTTTCTCATTTAGTTCTCACCCTTCCCCTCCACTTTACAGTTTCTAAAAGGCTTTTCTCTGCTTCTTGAACTCCCATGCCTTTATCATGTTCTCAGTTTTTCCCCAAATCTCTAATATACTACCTGTTTCATCAAATTGCCATTTTCTGCCCAGAAAGCCTTCCTCCTGGAGTCCTCCATTCTTTTGCTCCAATCTGGACTATCTGCACTGTTAAGTCTGCTACCCAGCTGGTGATTTGTGGACTTTCATGTCTGAAAATGTCACTGCCCTCACACTTGATTAAAAGTCAGGTGAGTTATACATTTCTGTGTTGACAACTAATTTTCAAAGTATTGCTCTATTGTATTGCAGTCTCCCGCGTTGATGAGAAAGTTGATGCCAATCTTAGCCTTACTCCTTTTTCTCTCTGGAAGGTTTCAGTACCTTCTATTTATTCTTGGTTTTTAAAATTTTTTTCAGTGATGTGTTTACATGTGGATTGGTTTTCTTTCATTCTGCTTGAAATTTACTAGGCCCTTCAAATATCAAGACTTTTATATCCCTTCAACCCAGGGGCATATTCAGTTATGGGATATTTTCTTGCATTATTTCCTTGATCATTTTCTCTCCTCTGTTCTCTCCTTCTCCACATCTACTAGTGAAATAGGGGAACCTTCTCATCTCCATTTTATAACTTTTCTTTCAATATTTTGTATCTTTTTGTTTTTCTTTATGTTCTGTATTTGGGGACTTTTCTCTATTTCATTTTCCAGTCCTTTTATTATTATTTTTGCTTGGGAATTATATTTTTAATTTCCAAGAGGTCCTTACATTTTCATTGTTCCTGCTTTTAATATATAATGTAGCTTGCTGTGCTGGTTTCTGAATATAATACACTGTGGGCTCTCTTAGCTGACTTCCATCAACCAACTTATTGGATCAACAGACACTTTCCAGTATGTATACATGCTGAATGCTCATGGCTATTAGGCTATTCACTGGTTTGCCCACATTCCTACTTCTATAAACTGAGCTGAATACCTATCAAGAAGAGTTATGTTTCTTCCCCAAATCTGTTTAGTCAAGTTGTGCTTGGTTTTATATATATATATGTGTGTGTGTGTGTGTGTGTGTGTGTGATAAACATGATATATATAAAATATATATATATGGCTTTTATGTGGCATTATTAAAATTATTTGATAATTATTATTCATCTTTCTTTTTTTTTTTGAGACTGAGTCTTGTTCTGTAGCCCAGGCTGGAGTGTGGTCCCGTGATCTCAGCTCACTGCAACCTCTGCCTCCTGGGTTCAAGTGATTTTCTTGCCTCAGCCTCCTGAGTAGCTGGGATTATAGGTGCGTGCCAACACGCCTGGCTAATTTTTGTGTTTTTAATAGAGATAGGGTTTCACCAATCCACCCACCTCGACTTCCCAAAGTGTTGGGAATACAGGTGTGAGCCACTGTGCCCAGTCTATTCATCTTTTTATGTGCTATTTTTTATATTAAAATATTTTCAACATTTAAAAACAAAATTTGTGTTGGGTGTCCCAAGAGCTCAACATCTGGCTATAAGTAGTTTATAAAAGTTAGTCTTTTCTTCTTAATGATCAAAACCAATTTTTACCTTGACAAATCCATTTTAACTTAACAACAACTTAGTGTGGGCTTTAGAGCCTCTATAAGTCAGAGATTTGATAAAAATTTACCTTTGAATTCCAGGGCTAGGGTCATATAACAGACTAATAGTAATTTAGATTTAAATAATATATATATTTTTACTATTAGTTAACATATTTGAATCACAGTAAGTACAGCTGTCAGAATGTATAAGGAATCATTTACCACAGATATGATTAAATCCATGCAGGCTTATGCAACTGTGGCATCCCACGTGTAGGGTAGTGGGAATAGTCCACCCTTGGTACAGGCATTGAGAGGGATACATTGTGTGTAGAGATTTTTAAAGCAATTATAAAACGAAATAAAAGTCAGTCTGCTTTTTATTATTGCCATGTGCCAACAATTCTAAACGTTGCCAGTCATAAAATACTCCTCCCTGAAACAATCTTTTGTTGGTTCTAACTTCTAAACAACCCCTGTGGTTTCTGTTGAGTTTTAATAATATGTGTGTAAGCTTCAAATTAGCACATTTTAATAATTTATCCTTTAGTAAATATTGTACTCTAGATGAAAGTCAATTCCAAGAACTCCCAGTTGTTTAGTGGGTCCCCTACACACACATGTTCCTTGTGAGAATGAATTTGTGACTGTGTGAGCTGTTTGACATTGTGCAAGCTCTTCTCCAGCCAGGACTTCACATCTCCAACTCCTAATGGTACTACATCCTCCTGCACTTAAACAGAGGGTTCGAAATAAACCATGATAGCATCGTGATCTTAAAGATGAAAAAACAGAACTAGAGTTATTTCAACTCTGTCAATTTATGTGGCCACTTAGAGATTTTGTGTTGAAAATGTAAACGGAAAGAGTACAAGCTATGCTCTATTTCTGTTGGACAAATGCAAGTTTTGGTTTACACTAAAATGTTTTACTGAAATGGAACAATACCTTTAAATAGAAAGATCTTTAAAATAGAAATGTATTTGCTCTTTTAAATTGTCAACTGTTTTAATACTATAAAAGGAATCAAGAAAATAATACTATTACAGATTATCACTATGACTAACTGTCATATTGAGGAAGGGGATGTTGAAAAATGATCCCCTTCTGGGTGCCAAATACACTAAGCATGCCCATGCATGACTTGGCAGGTTGCTAGGGCAAGACCAGGCAGTACTGTGAAGCAGATGAGTGTGGCACCAGTTCATCAGCTCCATCTGTGTCTCGTCTTTCAAGCCCTGTCCCTTCCCAGGCCTCACCCTAGCTTTGCCAATTCAAGATTCCACTTCTGAAGTTTTGCTCTCTGCAGTCAGTTAACGTATTCTTTTATGGCATAACTGTCTCTATGGAGTATTTACATTTTACAGGAGCCTTTACTTTAAAGTAAATACCTTTATTAAGATATAATTCACATATCATATAATTCACCCATTTAGTGTTTATAACCCAATTAGTATGTCTACAGTAGTGTAACCATCACCATAATCAATTTTGGAACATTTTCATCACCCACAAAAGAAATTCCATAACTATTCATAGTCATTCCCTATTTCTGTACCCCCTGCCACCCCCAACCGTTTTCTCCTCTGCAATCCCTGGCCCCAGGTAATCACTTATCTACTCTGCAAACTGATTATACAAAATGGACTCATTTTTGTCATACCCAACCAACGAAGACTAGGGGGGCATAGGGAAGCAGGTCACAAATGCCTACTCCGGGAACTGTCTTCCAAGTCCAATCCAAAACTGCATCAGCCTGCTATTGAGGCAGGAGAATAGGGTCTGGAGGCAGGGAACCTAAGAACTTCCTAGAACTAAATCAAAGGGAAAAACCCTGATCTTCTACACCCAAGTAAATAACTTTGTAACTTCACTTCATCCTCTTCATTTACATAGGCGTACACCAATTAACCAGTGGGAAACCTCTTAGAGGGTATTTAAACCCCAGAAAATTCTGTAACCAGTGTTCTTGAGCCGCTTGCTCGAGCTAACTCCCCCTCTGTAGAGTGTACTTTCGTTTCAATAAATCTGTGCTTTTCTTTCATTGCTTTGGTTGTGTGTTTTGTCCAATTCTTTGTTCAAAATGCCAAGAACCCAGACACCATCCACTGGTAACACTATGCCTTTAAAATACAAGTTTTACCTAGAAACTGCTGCCATTCACCAATCAGAACTTGCCTGCTCCTGCAAAACAATGCCCACACCAGTTAACTTTATTTCAAAATAACGTATGTAACCTTCCTCTTTTCCCCCAATAAAACCCCAGGCTTTCCCTTTGTTCTAGGACATACCTAACAGCTCCCTGGTTTGTGTGCCCCAAATTATAATTCTTGTATATTATTTCTAAATAAACCCTTTGCTTGAAGATTCATCACTCATATTTATTTCATGTTCACACTACTTTCTGTCTCTATGTATTCACCTATTCTGGACATTTCATATAGCATAATTTTTTAAGGTTCATCCACGCTGTAGCATGGAACTTTGTTCCTTTTATTGCTAAATAATATTCTATTGCATGGACATACCACATTTCATTTACCTCTTTATCACCAGTTGATGAACATTTGGGCTGTTTCCACTTTTTAGCAACTGTGAGTAGTGCTGCTATAAAAAATCACCTACAGGCTTTTGTGTGGACATGTGTTTTTAATTCTCTTGGGTATATACCTAGCAATGGAAATGCTGGGGCATATGGTAACTCTGTTTAACTTTTTGAAACACTGCAAAACTGTTTTTTCAAAGTGGCTGCACCTCTTTACAATCTTACCAGCGATGTAGGAGGGTTCCAGTTGCTCCACATCTTAATAGAAGTCTTTGAAAGTAGGGGGTAAAAAGAGTGTGAAGGGAGTAAACATGCACTGAGCACTGAGCATAAAACATACATTAACTCCAAAATCTATGTACTTTTGGTTGTACTATGCTGAGGACCAAAAAGCCTTCACTGGACTGAATCTTCCCCTGTGTAAGGGCAGAAATAAGAAATTGGATGGTTGGGTTGCAGGAATCAAAACTATAGCCACACCTCTTACTGTCCTTAGTAACCTGACTTTACCATTCCAATGTCTTCATCAATGTAGCTTTCCTATTCCAGAAAACTCCTGGTCAGGAAGATAAAAGCTGCAAATAATTTAATTGTGGATTCCAGGAACTTCCTGAAAAATCCATCAACCCCTCAACAGAAAGTAGCAAACAATAGTTTGCACCTCAAGTCTCCTTTGAACTCCTCACCTCAAAATCCCCACCTGGCCATTCACTAATACTAAACCATTATATCATAATCCTTAGCTAATCTTAACTAAGACCCAGGATAAACCAGACTTCAAAACTCCCATAAATATTCTAACTTTGCCTTCCCCATTCTAAGATGCTACCAAGAGTCTGTTTAGATAGTGTTTTCTCCACCAGCAAAAACAAACTCAGTTTTGCCTTAACAACAGGTTGCTTTGGAGATATTCTGGGAAAGCTAAGATTTGACAGTGGATATTTGTGAAAGGAAGCCTGCAACCCCACATACATGTATAGACAGGTGTCTTGCCTCCCTACCTGGATGGTCAGACCTGCCTAGGAGTGAGTAGTAAAAGGCTCCTGTAGTACTAAGAAGAATCTTGCTTAAAGTCACAAAATATTAGAGTAGTAGAATGAGAAAAACAAAGAAAACATAATTTAAATTTTCTATTAGACTATAAGTTCTCTGAGAGCTTTCCAATAATCTACCTACTCAATCCCCCCAAAATCCTCTGCAGTTTGGTCTACTGGTGCTACATGGGGGTTGTATGGCTAAGCCATGACCAGGATGACTTAAATCACATAGTTTGCTCTGAGTCTTGGGTTAGATGCTACATGAAAAGTTATAATCAGTAAGAAAGGTACCAAGTTCTACCAAAAGCGCTTCTTTATTTTAAAAGTTGTTTTAAAGTAGTGTCTTTTTTTTTTTTTGAGATGGAATCTCACTCTATCACCTAGGCTGGAGTACAGTGGCGTGATCTTGGCTCACTGCGACCTCCACCTCCCAGGTTCAAGTGATTCTTCTGCCTCAGCCTCCCAAGTAGCTGGGATTACAGGTGTGCGCCACCACACCCAGCTAATTTTTTGTATTTTTAGTAGAGATGGGGTTTCACCATTTGGCCAGGATGGTCTCAATCTCTTGACCTTGTGATCTGCTCGCCTCAGCCTCCCAAAGTGCTGGGATTACAGGCATGAGCCACCAAGCCCGGCCTACAGTAGTGTATTTTCAAAGGAACAGTCACCTAATGTTTATTTGATGCCAAATGTTTTATGCTAAAGAAGTATGTTTTTGGTAAGTAAAAACTTATTAAGGCCGGGCGCAGTGGCTCACGCCTGTAATCCCAGCACTTTGGGAGGCCGAGGTGGGTGGATCACCTGAAGTCAGGAATTTGAGACCAGCCTGGCCAACGTGGTGAAACCCTGTCTCTACTAAAAATACAAAAATTAGCTGGGCATGATGGTGGGCACCTGTGATCCCAGCTACTCGGGAGGCTGAAGCAGGAGAATTGCTTGAACCCGGGAGGCAGAGGTTTTGGTGAGCTGAGATTGCCCCATTACACTCCAGCCAGGGTGACAGAGCAAGACTGTGTCTCAAAAAAAAAAAAAAAAAAAAGTCCTTAATCTCTTACCTACTTATATAAATGAAGCTTTACAATTATTATTCCAATTATTCTAATTCCAATTATTATGGCATAACATTGATACAAAGGGAAAGAGAGTTCACAGTAGACAACAAAAAAGACATGGACACTATTTAATGTAACTTACATCTCTATTAGGAAATTGTAAAAAGTAAAGGATTCATATACAATAGAATTGCCAGGTTCATGCCTCAGTATCTACCATGCATATCTTAGTTCCCCAAACTGTTCACTGTTTGCAGATGCATCGTATTTTGACATATTTCTGAGTTTATGAGTCATTTTCTATCCTTGGAGTGCTCTTTTCCCTCTTACCACCAACAGCTATGTTCCACCATCCCTGTTTATCTAGTGAAATTCTTTTCAGCCAGGCATTCTGTGCTTTAATGTCCTAAACGACATTCACATAGGCCACTATTACACCTTCTACATCCATTTCCACTGGTGTTTTTCTAATACTTGTTTAAATGTTTTTTCTTAATTTAAGCATATAAATGGGAAACTTAATATCAAATTATGTAAAAATTTAAATAGCATTACTTTCCATAATTAGAAAGTAACCATAAAAACAAATACTCTGGAAAAAATACGTTGTTATATTCTAGCTAGAAAGCTAACAAATGCTCTGATTCTGAGACTCTTTGTAAAATAGGAGATTGCAAGATTAAAGAGTTGAGGACATACTCCAACAAACTGAAACTTCCTCTTAGACTTGATCAGAATAATGAAAAGGAAATAATTCTCCCACGGTGGGATTCAATGTTATATAATACCATGCCATGTTTCTCCTACTCACAGTCGGATACCTAGATTCCTCTCCGGTATCATCAGTCGTGGGTGCTCCACACTTTGGGAAACATTGGCGCAGAGGAATAATGGTGGGCTTTGGGGCCAGATTGTTCTGTGCTCAAACCTGAGGGTTGCCATTTATAAATTTGGCTTTGGACAGGTAACTTGACCTTTGTAAACTTCCTGTCTTCTTAAGTAAATATGATCAACCTCAGCAGGAGATTTGAAGGATTTGAGATAAGGTATTTATAAGATGGCTAGCATATGAAATGTCTTAATAAACCATAGCTTATATTATTATTATCTTTATCATTATCATCATTATCATCCTTCAAGGCATGGATCAAATATTATACCCTCTGTAAAAATGCCAGTTTCTTCCCTGAAATTTCACAACACTCTGAACATACTTTCATTTGAATGACTTGTTTATATCTGTCTCACTCATTGTTTAGTGAGTTTTTCAAAGGCAAAGCCTCTTCTCAGCAGAGCAGAGCAAAGCACACGCTGATTGAAAGCCTACTCTGTCCAAAGCTCTGTGAGTCATATCATGATTCGGAAAAAAATCTGCAAATTTAAACCTGCAAGAGATTGAGCACTCAGGCAGGTTATGGCCATATCATCAGAACAGTTGCTCAGGAAACAGCCTCATACATGCTGAAAAGAGCAACTGATACATGTTTCTACTTTGTAAATTAAGAGGCAAGACACTTAGGGCCAGAAAATTTTCCACATGTCCCTAGCATGCCCTTGTCCTCCCACAGCTGTTCCTTTCTACTCCTCTTAATAAAAAATTCAAGTTACCAAACAATGGCTGCTAACTCTTGAGTACAATTCCTCCTCTTCTGAGAACTGTCTTGATCCAAATATTTCTGAAACTAGATGAACTTCAGTTCACCCCTCCTTCTGAATCCCTATAAACACTTCTGCCCTCCTTCCCCAAGTTAAAATGCTCCTTCAGAACCTTCTTTGACCTGGCATTTTTGAGTAAAGGCTTATGCTAACATTCTCTGGTTGATTTTCTTTACTCCAGAAAACAGTAAAGTGTCATGAGAATGATATTTAGAGATCTTAAACCAATGTTTTAAACTTTTTAAAATTGTAAAATATTTCACTGAAACAAAAGAATACATGAAATAGCTAATTCAGTTTTCATTCTCTGTAACCAGTTTTAGCTTTCATTCTCTATATATCATGCTGCCCTTCAGCTCTTTATCTATTGAATTGAGGACATCCAAGCTTCTTCAGAAGGTCAGATACTACTTAGAACAAAAAGGTCAATATCCAGCTTTGAGTTTCAAATTAGCCTAAAAACATTTATTCAGGCAAAGTCTTGGAAAACAGATTTTATTAAGTAAGTTTTTTCTCTCTAAATTGTCAAAGCTTTTCTTAACACAGCAAAGCTTGGAGGTCTGACATAATATTTCACTAGAAGCCTTAGAGAGGATTGAGGATATGATGTAGGGAAAGTTTGGAGGGGATGAGACCAGGGCCAGGACATTGCCTGCATCACAGAAAAGAGGCCCAGTGTTTATCCTACTAATTTTCAGGCCAGGGAGAAGGAGAAACTGAAAGACAGGCATGCAAGTGTTTGACTTTTCATATGGAGCTGCGGGGAGACTTTACCAACCTAGGGCAGCTACAGTGGCACAGAAACAGTGTCTTGGTGTGATTCTGCAAGACAAGACCGAAGTCAGTGCTTCTAGTCTGCCACGGCCTTTGCTTTCCTGCAGGAGATCCACAAGTTCCTATGTGCTCTGTGAAGCCACAGAGGACTGCTGAGGTGACTGGCTTTCTGAAATAATCTTGGTGACAGTACAAGGAAGTCTCAAAATACGGACAGCTTAACATGGAGCAATGGTAACGCTCATGCTCAACAGCAGGCACCGAGACAAAGCCAAAAAGATCTAACAGCACCCAGCACAGCTCAGTAAACACCAGTGTAGTGCACCAAGTAATCAGGGATGGGGATGACTGAGTGAAGGCCAGTAAGTAACCAGATGATAGCACATGAGCCACAAGGCCCCTGCCCAGTGCCAGCACATGGTGTTAGCAGCTCTTAGTACCTAGATGGCATCTAGAAGGAAAAAAAGGAGAAAGAGTTCAAAACTCGACAAAACATGAAAAATTACCAGAAAGAAAAAACTGAGCTACCTTTAACTGGAAAGTTGATTTTTGTTGTTGTAGTTATTGTGATTTTGTTATTTCCAAGCAGAGTTAGGGGCTCAAGAGTGATCAATCCATGAAATAAAGTGTGTTTTTAAAAAAATATCTGATTGGTAGAATATGAATTCAAGGCTTCCTGTTAAAATAACATAGTGTAAGGACGATGGGTGCACTGCAGTCAAGTATAGGCCAAGGTACACATCTGGCACAGCATGACACAGCAGGATTGGAACTCAGGCGCACAATCCCATGCATTGTATAATCACAGCTGTGTAGTCATAACATCCGAGGGCTCATCACCTGGCTGTGAGCCACTGTTGTCTGTGAGGTGCATAAATGCAGCACTGACAGTTGAGTGAGCTGCTGAATAAAGCCATGTCCCACCTATCTGTGGTCTCTTGAGTGTTCTTTCAGCTACCTGCCACCCCACTGACTCCCCTCAGACCTCAGCTTGGGCTGGAATCTAACAAATAGTGGTCAAGATGATGAGCCCTGGGATGAGACTTCATGCTTCCAATCCTGGCTCATCACTTTTTAGCATGAGTTGAAATCTTCCTCCTTTTAGTTTCCACCCAGGAGTGCAGTTCTGTGCCCTACAAGAAATCTATGCCCAATAAAAGAAATCAGCCCTCTCATACATGACAGCCTTTCAGATGTCAGAAGACAACCTTTGTCTCCCCTGTGAGCTTGTCCTTCGTTGGTCTACCTTCTCTAGAACTTTTAATCCACAGTCACATCATATGATCCATCACCCTGTCACCATCCAGACTGCTCTCCCTAAAAGTATTTGCAAGTTACCTATATTCCCTTCATAGTAACTTCACACTGTTAACACATAACTGCTTGATAAGACTCCACTTTTGTCCTCAGCCATGACTGGAATGGTTCTTTTCATTCCCTTGAATCCTCATCTTTGACTCAAACCCCTCTTGGAATTATACAGAATTTAGTCATCCTGTCAGGAGAAGGCCGCTGGCAGCTGTGATTCAACTATCCAGATATTCGCAATTTTCCCTACCTTATCTCCCTTATGCTGATAGGTTTAAACAAAGAGATGAGGTTAATTAGAAAGTCAGCTGTTGGGTCCAAGTTCCCTGATCACTACTTCTCTACAAAGCAAGAACAGAAAAGTAAGAGAGTAAAGAAGGGGTTTACTGCATGTTCTAACACCAACCCCCAAAGCCTTAGTCATAAAAGATAACTTTCGCCCAGGCGTGGTGGCTCATGCCTGCAATCCCAGCACTTTGGGAGGCCGAGGCAGGTGGATCACGAGGTCAGGAGATTGAGACCATCCTGGCTAACATGGTGAAACCCCGTCTTTACTAAAAATACAAAAAAATTAGCCAAGGGTGAGGCAGGCACCTGTAGTCCCAGCTACTCAGGAGGCTGAGGCAGGAGAATGGTGTGAACCCAGGAGGCGGAGCTTGCACCGGAGCCAAGATTGCACCACTGCACTCCAGCCTGGGTGGGAATCTCTGGTTATGCTTCTAGGGGTCATATCATTCAAACATTGTCTTGTTTAAATATCACCCTTTATTCTTTCATTTTCGGATTCTCTTTTTCATTCAGGACTCAACAGTCACTAGTGGCTGAGAAAAGAGTTTTGTCTAGGTTGGAGCCATGATGCGCTTATCTGTTGATAGACATGTCACATAAGCATTTCTCCAGTACAGAAACATGCAGTAAATTGAAATCTGTACACCAGGATTAGATACACCCAGGATTGTATGCCAACTTCCAATAGCTTTCCCACACCAGGAAAATGAAATTTATGATAAAGTAGCTTCTAAGTTCAATACAGTCTAGTGGTTACAGAGTGGTTTCTGGAGCCAGACTGCCTGGATTTGAATTCCAGCCCCTCCACTTACTAGCCAGTGGGAGAGTCACTTAATTCCTTTGTGTCTGAGTTTCTCTACCTTTAAAAAATAAATAAATGAGATGGAAAGATTTTTTTAAATGAAGGCAATAATAAGGTCTACCTCATAGTGTTGTTGTGAGCATTAAATGCATTAATATATGTAAAATGCTTAGACCATCCAATTAATCCAGTCAACAAGGGATGTAAATTACGTCAAGAGACTCTGAACAAGCTATAGTAATCTTCCCTGTACAGTTATACCTATGAGCTATATACATTTATTTAGATACAGGAAGAACGGTGAAATAGGGATCAAAAAAAAAGAAGAGCCCCTGACACTGCCACTAGCTAGCAAATTATTTATCATTTCTGTGCTCCAATTTATTCATCTGCAAAAATGAGATAGTAATATTACCTGGTAGTTACTGAGAAGACTATGGGACAATTTACATGGAGCACCACGTAAATGGCAGAGCACTGTACAAATGTAAAAGGTCATTAATATCATTGATCATCATTCTTCTCACAATTAATTGGCATCCAGAGACATGTATAAGATCAGGATATTGGCCAGGCATGGTGGCTCATGTCTGTAATCCCAGCACTTTGGGAGGCTGACAGGGGCAGATCACCTGAGGCTAGGAGTTCGAGACCAGCCTGGGCAACATGGCAAAGCCCTGTCTCTATTAAAAATACAAAAATTAGCCAGGCGTGGTAGTGTGCGCCCATAATCCCAGCTACTTGGGAGTTGAGGCACGAGAACTGCTTGAACCTGGGAGGCAGAGGTTGTAGTCAGCTGAGATCACACCACTGCACTCCAGCCTGGGCGACACAGTGAGACTCTATCTCAAAATAAAATAAAATAAAATAAATAAATAAATCAGGATATCCTGCCTTGTAAAAAGAAATTGATTATTTTCTTTAACCCTTTTTTCTAGACTTGAAGAAAGCCCCTTTGCATTTCCTTGGCATTAGAGCATTTCGTCTTCATTTCAATGTATCAGCGCACGTATAACACTGCATTACACGGCCCAGTTTTCAAGGTCAGAGCTTGCCTGTGATCACTATACTTCAGTTTGGCTTATTGGCCTATTTGGATGAATATTTGATCTCTTTAAAAGTGTTTCCAAATGACAAGGAAAGGATAAAACACTTTTAGGCAAGACTCCTGTGGATGGCTCATGATGCATTTACAGCTTCAAACAGATTGTGTCCTTCCCTAAAGAAGGTATCCTGTTGGAACTTAAGCTTCAGTTTCTCTTGGTTTGGATCTCAGACTCCATTTTGCTTCTGTAATCCATGCTCAAAGACTGCTACAGTCTTGACTTTGGTCATTCATTTCCTTGAGTTACCTGGAGAAATTAATCTGATTTTAGTTAAACCTTTTCTACACCAGGTAAATCTTGATATAACCAAAGTGAAGACCTTGTTCACACTCTGTGGGCAATGGGTATGATTTCATATTCCATAGTTCAGGGCCTTTCCTCTTGCATCCTCAGGAATCAGAATAACCAGCCTTCTGTCACATGGACCATGCCAACTAGAAATCACCCTAAATGTCTTATAGTTTACGTAACTTTATTGGGTTCTCCCTCAAACAAAAATCCTCTATTTCTGATTATTTGTCCCAAATGTATCTGGAAAATATTTTCAAGCTAAATCTCATTTTCTTATTTCCTGTCCATATTTTTAACTTCCCCAGACCCCCTGGATAATTTATCTATTGCATTATTATGTGCAGTTAAAGAAGTAAAGACCTGCTCCTTCTCAGTCTTTGAGCTCAGGAAATATCTCCAATCATTTTTCAATTTTTTGTGGTCCAGAGAGAGCCTAAACATGTGTTTTCTGGGGGAAATTTAATCCACATGCTTATGATTAATTTATATAGAAGTCATTGAATTGGTGTTTCTAAGACATTACATTTGGCAAGCTACCTCTCTTGCCCTTCAAATTCCTTCTTGCGTTTTATTTGAGTTGGTATGGAACTCTACCCAGGTGCTTTTCAGTGCTGGCAAGATACTTCAAAAAGTCATCCTGAATATCTGAGATGCCATTCTGTCCATTTTATAGTTGATATATAACTGCCTGAATGGAGGGTATCTTACAGTATAGAGAGTGATTAAATAATTTATCATCAGGATTCTTTTATGCAGCAGCTATAACTGCTCCTCAGAGTGGGCTATGGCTTCTAATGGCTGATTCATTCAAAATTAAAACTCATTTCAATTTAATCCCAGCCAATTTAATAATACTTCACTATGTACCTCTTATGTGCTAGGTACAATAAGTCATAATATTTCCTGCCTTCAATTTGCTCATTGTTTAAAAGGAAAAATTGATCCATCTATTTAAACTATGATAGAAGGAACTAAATGTAACATATAATCAAAGTGCTATGAAAGAACCAGAAATTCCTATTGGAGACATCAGGGAATATGGAAATATGGCTGCACTTAGGAATTACTGAGTATGTTGTGGGTAATTAAGAGTAGGTGGCTACAGTGGAAGACATGCAATCTGGGACTGGCTCATTGGAATAAGATTCCAAAGGCAGCGAAAATCCAGATTATGGAAAGCGTTGGATGGCATGCTTAGGAGTCTGGGGCATTATGTAGGCAAAGGGGATCCAACGAAGGTTTTTTTTTTTAAATACAAAGAATGATATAATCATATGTTTAACTATGATAATGTGGAAGACAGATTGGAAGTGAAAGAAACTATAGGCAGGGGAAGATTCAGAAGACTGCTGTGATGATCCAGACAAGAAATATAGAGGCTCTGACTGATGACAGAGACTAAAGTAATGACAGTGGATGGCTTGGATTTGAGACACATTGCTGAGATGGGCTTCATAGAGTTTAGAGGTGAGTAAGATATGAAGACAGGGTAGGCTGTGAGTGATCTCTGGGTAAATTACCTACATTGTTGGGGTCTTCCTTTTCTTAACAATAGATTGAAGACAATATCTCCAGTTATATTAAGGATTTAAAAAACATAGTATGAGATGTTTTAGTTCCTTCTTGGCATACAGCAGGCTCTCATTTCAGGGTAACACAAAAAATAAAAATGAAAATGAGGTTTGTGAACTAAGATTTCCAGAACAAATCAATACCCATGCTTTTCAGGTCTCTGAACTTTTGGTATATACTATTTAAATATCTTTCACATGTATCTCTATAAATATCTAGTTATTGGCTCATTTTTAAATTGACAAATAAAAATTATACATATATTTTTGGTGTGCAACATGTTTTGAAATATGTATAATATGTATATATTGTGAAACAGCTAAATCAAGCTAATTAACATATGTATTAGCTCACATACTTTTCATTTTTTGTGGTGAGAACACAAATATATTCTTAGTGATTTTCAAGAATACATTTTTATTAACTAGAGCTGCCACATTGTACATAGATAACTTAAAACTATTCCTCTTATGGAATTGACATTTTGTATCCTTTGACTAACATTTCCCTACCCCGCCTCCCCTTCCCCACCACAAGCCCATGATATACACCATTATACTCTCTGCTCCTATGAATTCAACTTTTTAAGATTCAATTTATTAGATTATATCCAAATATCAATTCAGATATATATCTATATATCTGAATAAATTTATTAGTTCTAATGGTTTTTTTAGTGGAGTCTTTAGGATTTCCTTATATAAGATCATGTCATCTGCAAAAAGGAACAATTTAACTTATTATTTTCCATATAAGTGCCATCATGTGGTATTTGTCTTTGTGTGCCTAGCTTATTTCACTTACCATAATGTCCTCCTCCAAGTTTATCCATGTTGTCTCAAATGACAGGATTCCCTTCTTTTTAAGGCTGAGTAGTATTCTATTGTGTATATATACCACATTTTATTTATCCATTCATCTGTTGATGGACACTTAGATTGTTTCCATATCTTGGCTATTGTAAGTAATGCTGCAATGATCATGGAAGGGCAGATATCTCTTCAATGTATTGATTTCATTTCCTTTGGATATATATCTACCAGCAAGATTTCTGGGTCATATGGTAGCTTATTTTTATTATTTTGAGGAACCTCCATACTGTTTTCCAATAATGACTGTACTAATTTACATTCCCACCAACAGTGTGCAAAGGATGTTCTTTTTTGATAGGATGAATTTTGATAGAGATTGCATTAAATCTGCACATCACTTTGGGTAGTATGAACATGTAATTCTTCCAATCCATGAACACAAGAGATCTTTCCATTTATTTGTGTCTTCTTCAATTTTTTTCATCAATGTTTTATAGTTTTCAGGATATAGGTCTTTTACCTCCTTGGTTAAATTTATTCCTAAGTATTTCTGTAGCTATTATAAATGAGATTTTTTTTTTTTTTTTTTTTTTTGAGACGGAGTCTCGCTCTGTCACCCAGGCTGGAGTGCAGTGGTGCAATCTCGGCTCACTGCAAGCTCCGCCTCCCGGGTTCACGCCATTCTCCTGCCTCAGCCTCCTGAGTAGCTGGGACTACAGATGCCCACCACCACACCTGGCAAATTTTTTTGTATTTTTAGTAGAGATGGGGTTTCACTGTGTTAGCCAGGATGGTCTCGCTCTCCTGACCTCGTGATCCACCCGCCTCAGCCTCCCAAAGTGGTGGGATTACAGGCGTGAGCCACCACACCCGGCCAAATGAGATTATTTTCTTGATTCTTTTTCAGATAGTTTCTTGTTAGTATATTAATATGCTACTATTTTTATATATTGGTTTTATATCCTGCAATTTTACTGAATCAATTTATTAGTTCTAATGGTTTTTTTAGTGGAGTCTTTAGGATTTCCTTATATAAGATCATGTCATCTGCAAAAAGGAACAATTTAACTTATTATTTTCCAATGTGGATGCTTTTGCTTTCTTTCTCTTGCCTAACTGTCCTGGCTAGGACTTCCAATACTATGTTGAGTAGAAATGGTGAGAGTGGACATTCTTGCCTTTTTCCTGATCTTAGAGGAAAAGCTTTCAACTTTTCACCATGGAGTATAATGTTAGCTGTGGGTTTGTCATATATGGACTCTATTGTTTTGCGATACATTCTTTGTATACCTAATTGTTGAGAGTTTTCATCATGAAACAATGTTGAGTTTTGTCATATGCTTTTTCTACATCTATTGAAATGATTATATGTTTTTTGTCCTTCATTCTGTTAATGTAGTGTATTACCTTTATAGATTTATGCATGTTGAACCATTCTTGCATCCCTGGGATAAATCCCAGTTGATCATGATAAATAATCCTTTTAACGTGCTGTTGAATTTGGTTTGCCAGTATTTTTTAGGTGACTTTTGCATCTATATGCATCAGGAATATTGGCCTATATTTTCCTTTCCCTTTTAGTGACCTTATCTGGCTTTGGTATTAGAACAAATAAACTTTGATCACAAAAAACCTACACTTTTACTCTCTGCTCCCACATTTTATAATTTTGATACAACAATTTAAATATTTTTATATTGTGTATCCCCTAACAAATTATTGTTGCTATTGTTATTTTTAGTAGTTTTTTAATCTTCATTTTAAAGATATAAATGGTTTACACAACACCATTACAGTATTAAAGTATTCTGAACTTGACTCTATATTTACTTTTACCAGTGATTTTTACCCTATGTTTTCACGTTACTAATTAGCATCCTTTTTTTTTTTCAGCTTGAAGCATCCCTTTAGCATTTTTGCTAAGGTAGGTCTAGTGGTAATAATGAACTCCCTTAGCTTTTGTTTGTCTGGGAAAGTCTATCTTTCATTTATTTCTGAAGTGCAACTTTCCTGGGTAAAGTATTCTTGGTTGGCAGGTTTTTTTGTTGTTTTTATTTCTTCAGCACTTTGAATGTATCATCACACTGTCTCCTGGCCTGTAATGTTTCTGCTGAGAAGTCTGCTGCTATCCTTATTGGAACTCCCTTATATGCGATTTGCTTCTTTTTTCTTGCTGCTTTCAATAACTACTTTTTGTCTTTGATTTTTGACAATTTAATTATAATATATCTTAGTGTAGTCTTGTGTGGAGTGAATCTGACTGGAGACTGTATTAATTCGTTCTCATACTGTTAATAAAGACATACCTGAGACTGGGTAATTTATAAAGGAAAGAGGTTTAATTGACTCACAGTTCAGCATGAGTGGGGAGGCCTCAGAAAACTTACAATATGGTGGAAGGGGAAACAAACACGTCCTTCTTTACATGGTGGCAGCAAGGAGAAGTGCCAAGCAAAAGGGGGGAAAGTCCCTTATAAAACCATCAGCTCTCATGAGAACTTACTCACTATCATGAGAACAGCATGGGGGAAACTGCCCCCATGATTCAATTACCTCCCACCAGGTCCCTCCTACAACACATGGGGATTACGGGAACTACAATTCAAGATGAGATTTGGGTGGGGACACAGCCAAACAATATCAGAGACCTTTGGCCTTCCTGTACTTGGATATTTATATCTTTTCCCAGATTTGGATAAGGAATGTTTTCTGCTATTATTTCTTTAAGTAAAATTTCTATTCCTTTGTCCCTTTGCTCCCCCTTGAACTTCTACAATTAAAAAATTTGTGGCCATGTGCCACGGCTCACACCTGTAATCCCAGCACTTTGGAAGGCCAAGGCGGGTGGATTGCCTGAGCTCAGGAGTTCGAGACCAGCCTTGTCAACATGGTGAAACCCTGTTTCTACTAAAAAAAAAAAAAAGAAAAATAGCCGGATGTGGTGGCATGTGCCTGTAGTCCCAGCTACTTGGGAGGCTGAGGCAGAAGAATCGTTTGAACCCAGGAGGCAGAGGTTGCAGTGAGCCGAGATTGTGCCACTGCACTCCAGCCTGGGCAACAGAGCGAGACTCTGTCTCAAGAAAAAAAAAAAAAATTGCTCATCCGCATGTGTTGACTTACACCTGTAATCCCAGCATCATGGGAGGCTGAGGCAGGCATTTGAGGTCAGGAGTTTGAGACCAGCTTGGCCAATATGGTGAGACCCCGTCTCTACTAAAAATACAAAAATTAGCTGGGCATGGTGGTGCGTGGCTGTAATCCAAGCTACTCAGGAGGCTGAGGTGGGAGAATTGCTTCAACCCAGGAGGTGGAGGTTGCAGTGAGCCGAGATCATGCCACTGCACTCCAGCCTGGGTGACAGAGTGAGACTCCATCTCAAAAAAAAAAAAAAAAAAAAAAAAAAAATTGCTCTTTTGATGCTGTCCCATGGATCCCATAGGCTTTCTTCATTCCCTTTCATTCTTTTTTTTTTCTTTTTTCCACCTCTGACAGTATATTTTCAAACAACTTGTCTTATTGTGTTCTTTTGGTGGTATGTCACCTTGTTTTTATATGTTACCTGTTGCCTTAGGTTGATATCTGCACATTTTGAAGAAGTAAGGACTTATTCTATTTGCTGCAGAGTGGCTTTACCAGTCAGCCCATCTGGAGATTCTGGGCAGGTTGTCTGGAGTGGTCCATAGATGGGCTTGCTGCTGGAGTCTTTGGGCAGGCTGACCTGGTGCCTGGGTCAGGTTAGCAGGCCTGGTGTAAGTCCTCAGGGCTGGGCCTGGATCCTGGATCCACTGTGGTAGACTTATTAATTGGGTCAATTAGGGCAGGCCTGGAGCCTGTATCTGTGGGGATGAACCTGGAGCCTGTATCCATGACAGCCAGTCTAAGACTGGGTCCATAGAGGTTGACCTGGTGCTGGTGTGGGCCTTGAGCCTGAATCTTCTGGGACCAGCCAGGTGCTGGGATGGGTCTGATACCTGGGTCCACAGCGTTGTGACTGAAGCCTGAGCTCATGGAAGATGGGTCTGTGTCCTGGTCCACAGCAACTGACCTGGTGCTGGGACAGGCCTGAAGCCTGAGTCTGTGGAGGCAGACCTGGGTCCTAGGCCCACAGGGGCTGGCCTGGCACTGGGATCTACTTGGGTGGGTCTTGACCTTGGGTCAACTGGAGTCTGGTGTCATCAGGACTGGCCTGGATCCTGGGGCTAGCCAGTGATGAAGCAGGCATGGAGCCTGGGTCTATAAGGGCTGGTATAGAGCCTGCGATCATGGGTACTGGCTGGCACCTAGGGCTACGGGGACTGGCCTGAAGCCTGGGTCCACTGGGGTTGGCTTGGAGATTGGGTGTATAGGTGCTGGCTTGGAAACTAGGTCTGTGAGGGGTGACCTGGATCCTTAGGCCATGGGGGCCATCATGGAACCTGGGTCCACAGAGGTGGTCCTGAAGCCTGGGTCCACGGGGACTGGTCCAACCAGCACTGGGATCTACTGAGAATGGCCTAAACCTTGGGTCTGCTGGAGCTTGGGGCCACAGAGATTGACCTGAAGGATAGGACAAAGGGACTGGCTTGGCACTGGGCATGCCCAGATTCTGTGTCCATGGGTGTCAGCCTGGTGCCTAAGGCTACATGTGTCAACCTGGTTCTGGGGTAGTCCTGAAGCCTGAGGCCACAGGAGCTGGCTGGTGCTAGACGGGTCTAGAGTCTGTATCCACGGTGGCCAGCCTGAAGGCTGAATTGAACGGTGCTATCCTGATGGCTAAGACTGCAGGGGTGGTTTGGATACTGTGTCTGCTGGGGCTGGCCTGACCTGGCCCTTCAGGGTGGGCCTGAAGCCCAGGACCACTAGGGCCAGTCCAATAGTGGGACAGGCCTGGAGCCTGGGGCTGTGACGTCTTGACTGGTGCAGGGCGGGTTTGGAGACTCAGTCTGTAGGTACTGGCCTGGAGTCTGGTCCCATGGGGGCCTGACCAGTGCTCAGTTTTATTGGGTACAGTCCTGGTGTTGAGGGTCTGAAGCAAAGTCTGGTGTTCACTTCCCTCTCCTTCCCCCAAGTGCAGGGTATCTCTTTCAATGCTATGCTGCCTAGGGTTGGAGGAGTGGTATAAAACTGTTCTTCCTTCCATATTGAAGAGGTTCAATGTGTCTTATTTCTGTGCTCTACCTAGGTGCTATAATATTTCACCTGGCTTCCTTAGCTCTTGTGAAGGTATTTTCACACATAATTGTTGTGGTTCAAATGGATGTTTCCACAGGGAGACAAGCTCTGGAAAGTCCTATTCTGCCATCTTGCTGCTATACTCCCAGCCTTCTTTTTTGGCTAATTTTAAAGACAAATAGTCATTACATTGATGTGTAGTGGTTAAAGTGATCATTAGCAAAAAAGTCATGTTTCCTAAAGGGAATCTGAGCCGCTAACTAATAATCAAAACACCTTTAAGACCAGCTGTGGGTAATTAGCACATTTGCACCAGTGATTTTCTACTCTGGTTTGAGACAGTCCAATTCAGCAAATAATTTTTTAGTGTACGTTAGGTATGGATGTTTACTGCTTGCAAGAACATAGGAAAAGTATATCAAGTCCCTACCCTCAAGGAGCTTATATTCTAGGAAGGGAAATAATGACAAGTTTACAAATGACTATAAATACCTGTAGGTAACACCATATATACTACATGCATAAAAGGATACAGATAACATGTTAATGATTTTTAGAAGCAGAAAAGAAAACATTCACTTAGGATAATTCAAGAAAAGCGTCAAGAAAGAGTTGGTGGTCTTTGAGATAAACTTTGAAAGACAGCTTGAGTTTTGTTTAATGGAGATGTTGGGGAAGGTAATTATAAGTGTTGAAGAAATCCAATCATACACTTACATACTCAGTTCCTCTTTCACTCATCAAACTTTTATTGAGTACCTACTGTGTCTGAGGAGTATAGAGATTACCAAAAACAAAGTCTCTGCACATCAGATTTCAGTCACTTTCAACTCAAATGTTTCTCCTCCTCATGGAGAAGGAGGAAAAAAAGACAAACAGATGAACTGCAATGTAATATGCTCAGTATTTCATATAAGTGCTTAATTAAATGCTGTATGTATTAGTCATAGTTCTCCAGAGAAACAGAACCTATACTAATAGGATATATATGTATATACATACACACAAAAAAAATATACACACATATATACATACATAAACATGTATGTATATATACACGTGTGTGCGTGTGTGTGTAGATATACACAAAGATATATATACACACACATATTATATATATACGTATATATGTATATATACATATATACGTATATATATGTGTGTGTGTATATATATATATATATATATATATATATAGAAAGAGAGAAAGAGAGTGAGAGAGAGAGAGAGAAAGAAACAGACAGATTGATTTTAAGTAACTGGCTCAGGTAATTATGGATGCTGGGAAGTCCAAAATCTGTAGGGTAGGCTGCTGGCAGGGTGGAGACCCAGGGAAGAGCTGAGGTTGCAGTTCAAGCCTGAAGGCAGTCTGCTGGCAGAATTTTTGTTGTTGTTGTTCAGGGAAGGCCAGTCTTTTCTCTATCAAGGTCTTCAACTGATTGGATGAAGCCCATCCACATTATGGAGGGTAATCTGCTTTACTCAAAGTCTATTAATTTAAATATCAATCTCATCTAAAGAATATCTTCATAGAAATATCTAGAATAATGTTTGACCAACTATCTGGGTAACATGGCCTAGCCAAGTTGACACATACAATTAACCATCATACTATATAAGAAAAATGGAACAAATTTGGTCTCAGCCTCCATCCATCAGATTAATCAGAGTAGCTGATGGAGTGGCATACTCAGTGTAAATCTGAGTTCAGCCAAGAACATGTAGGGCTGAGGGATGGATTGTTGGGAGAAGTAGTTGACTACCAACCGTGATTATCTCTGCATGTTCTTGATGAGTGTGCCAGACTGCAAGACTTATGTCTTCTGATAAAAAGTAGTTTCTGCAGCTACTTACACAGGCAACTAAGTTGTCAAAATGACCACAGCATGACTACCATATAATTGCCCACCCCTGCGGGGAGGAATACTGGCTTGTTTGCTGCTTCCACAATGTTTGCTGATAGCCTAAAAAGTGCTAGGCTTTTGGCCTGAACTCCTCAGCTGCAGCTTAGACCCACTGCATGTGTAGCATAAATTTGGGCCCACTGCGTTGTTCCTGTGGGACTCGGTGGCCAGGGAAACTGATGCAAATATGCTAATGATGCTTGCTGAGTAGATAAAGTCTTCTGTTTCTGACCTAGAAGACTTGGGCTTGAAGCAGCAAAGGCAAACTTGTTAGCTTGCAAATAGGGTAACTCTCAGGCCCTTCACAGTTCTTGACAGCTACAGTGACGAGGACGGGATGCCAACAGTGACATGACTTTCTGAAAGAGGAAGGACAGAGGCTTTGCAGGTCGGGTTGGGGATATAAGTATTCCCAGGAGCTGATAGTAAGTGCTCTCACCAAAGTAGTGAGTGATGCTGAGGAGTAAGGGTTCCCCAGTGTCCTATTTTTAATGAACAAAAGTAGAACTAATTATTTGGAAGCAAACAGTGATAGGATTGAAACAAGCCACCAAAATGGTACCTTGGCTTTTGGTCACTTTCCCAAGGAGGGTGAGGGAAAGGATGTTTATTTTGACAATGGGATAGCAAGCCCTGTGATCCTAACCCAAATGCAATGTGGTTGTGCTTACTGAAAGCTGAAATAGATGATGTCAGTAATTATGAACTTACCACCTGACATGGGGCTTTGGAAGGGCTGAAAACATTGGAAATTCATTTGATTGAGCTGTGAGCAGCTGTCACACCACTCAAAACTGAAAGTAGTAACTAAACCAGTCTTGAAAAAGAACATATTCATTTTTGCAGTTACTCACACTTTCCAATTTCAAAGTTTAATACAAAACTACAGTAATCAAGAGATTATGGTATTGGCCATAATCTCTTGATTACTGTACATATACATATATGTATAAAGGTAGACATAAAGATCTATGGAATAAAATTGAAAGTCCAGAAATAAACCCTTACATATGTGGTCACTTAATTTTCAATAAAAGTGCCAAGATGATTAAATGGGAAAAGAATAGTCTTTTCAACAAATGGTATTGGGACAACTGTATCTACATGCAAAAGAATGATGTTGAATCTCTACCTCATATCATGTACAAAAATTAACTCAAATGGACCAAAGACCTAAAGATAGGAGAGCTACAACTATACAAATTCTTAGAAGAAAAAATAGGAGTAGATCTTTGTGGCCTTGAATTGAACACCAAAAGTACAAATGACCAAAAAATAGATAAATTAGAGTTCATCAAAATTAAAACCTTTTGTGCTTAAAAGGACACCATCAAGAAAATAAAAAGACAACACACAGATTATTGGACTTCTGGTTTCCACTTCCATATATGAGGAGTTTAGAAGTCACCATTCCTTCTGAACAATAAATAAAAAGCTGAACAGTCTGAAAAATCAACAATTTTTCTTGGATCCATTAGAGAGGTGAGGACACAGGGCAAACCACTGCCCCCAAAATTGGAGAGACAGACAGACAAATACAGGGAGTCATGGCATACTGCAGCAGACAACCTGAACTGTGACTGTGCTGGAGGCTCAGTGTGGACAAGTTTGAGAGTTTGCAACTCCCGGAGGACTCAGTCATTGGGAAAACCCCCATATTTTTGTGAGTTTTACCTCCAGGAGCTCAACCAGGATCTCACAGCAAATACTGGGCAAAAATTCTTCATGCTTTCAGTAGGGGTAAGGGGAAAGGAACTATTTTGAAATACGCCAGAGCACTCTGTTTTTTTGTTTTTTTTTTTGACAGAGTCTTGCTCTGTCGCCAGGCTGGAGTACAGTGGCTTGATCTTGGCTTAGTGCAACCTCCGCCTCCCAGGTTCAAGCAATTCTCCTGCCACAGCCTCCCGAGTAGCTGGGACTACAGGCACACACCACCATGCCAGGCTAATTTTTTGTATTTTAGTAGTAACGGGGTTTCACCATGTTGGGCAGGATGGTCTCTATCTCCTGACCTCGTGATCTGCCCACCTTGGCCTCCCAAAGTGCTGGGATTACAGGTGTGAGCCACCGTGCCTGGCCTCTGTTCTTAGCAAGTTCTGCCCTCAGGAGAAACTAGTTAACCATAGCCTAATAATACCCTGTTGGGGTATTATCAGAGCCTAACTGACCTAAGTGAAAGGAAATACCCAACTCCAGTCAGCTCTAGCCTTCCATGCAGGAGAAGGGAAATACCAACTCCAGCCCACTCTAGCCATCCTGTTCCACCAAAAGAGGGAAGAAAAATACTGAAAAACACTTGTGAAGTTCACAGTCCAAAGGCACAGGCTCACAAAAAGTCTGAGACCTAATCATAGGACTATAGGATGCTTCCTCTCCCCCCATACCTTACCACCGTATTACTAAAGGCTTATTTACAATTGTTCTTTTTACCTGATACATCACAGCTATCCAGATAAATTACAAGGCACACTTAAAGGGAAAAAACACAGTTTGAAGAAACAGAGCAAACATTAGACATGGCAGGGATGCTGAAATTATCTGAACAGGAATTAAAAACAGCTATTATTAATATGCTAAAGGCTCTAATGGACAAAGCAAATAGTATGCAAAAGCAGATGAGCAATGCAAGCAGAGAGATGGATATCCTAAGAAAGAACTAAAAAAAAAAAATGCTAGAGATCAGAAATACTATAACACAAATGAAGAATGCCCTTGATAAGATTATTAGTAGACTGGACATGGCTGAGGAAATAATCTCTGAATTTGAGGATATATCAATAGAAATCTCCCAAATTGAACAGCAAAGTGAATAAAGACTGATTAAAACAGGGCAGCATATCAGAGGACTGTGGGACAACTACAAAAGGTGTAACAAACTAGAAGGAGAAGAAAGAGAAAGGAATCGAAGAAATAATTGAAACAATAATGACTGAGAATTTAGTAGTAGATGGACCCCAACAATTCTAATAACAAAAGACAGTCGTAAGTACTATAACAGGGCTACAGGAGCCTTGAAGAAAAAAGCTTTATTTCCTGAATGGTTTCAAAGGGAAGCAGTGCAGTTTTATTTTAAAAGATTTTATTAATTTAGGTTCAGCTGGGAGGTCCATCTGAAGATAGTGGTATGGAAATAACATATTGAAATGAATCAGAAAACTTCAGAGCTGAAGGGAAACTCAGATTGTCCAATTCAACCTCTACATTAGAGACAGACCCAGAGCGCCCAGTGCCCTACAATGAGTGAGTTGGTGTCAGAATGTGGAATCAGATCCAGAACTCCTGGTCTTCCAGTAGGTGAGCCTTCTATCCCAAGGCCTTCCTGCCTTCCTGCTGTCACTTCATTATGGTGCCCTGGGGTAAGGAGCCTTCTCAGGAACATGTATTATTTGGGTAACTAATATTACAAATATCTGCCAATGACGTCTTGTTGCACAGTCTTTCCAAGTCTTCCCTTTAGCTCCTCCCTTCCAGCCAGTAGTAATATCTCCTACCTCAGACATCTAAAAAATCTATTGTCTACTGATCATTTGGATCCTTTCCTCCCTGTCTTATTTTCACAAATATTTATCAAGTACTTCCTATGCAAGGCACCTTATGTTAGGCTCTGGGGATAATGAGTGAACAAGACAGAATTTAACATACACATCCATCATCTATTAACTCTCTCCAAGGCTTTATGCCACCCAACACAGATTGTAAACATGGAGAGAAGGAATCTAACATTATTTTTTATGTTCTACAGAAACTAAAACAGTGCTTTGTTTTAGTGTATGTCATAAGGTTCTCGAACAAAGATATTAAAAAGAATTATCAGTGAAATTTGTAAAGATACTAAAAAACGGAATAGTATAATAAACCACCAAATGTTCTGCCATTCTCGTTTCAAAGTCTGATGACAGGTGACAGAGAGTGTAAATGGGGATGGTTGGGCCAGTGACAGGGAAACTCTAGGCACCAAGTTCAGTCGGGGATCCCAGATAAAGGGCCAGGCAGTGAGATACACCACTATTATTTGTATGAAGGGCAATAAACAGGAAGCAATGAAGTTTGCCAAGTGCTGGTGGCAAGGGCAGGATAGAGCATCAGGTGCAGGGAGCTTGAGCTAAACTTTGCTGAGCAGTGCTGCCTGCCTCTGTGCCTGGCAGTGGGTGGACCATACCTCAGGTTGGTCTTAGGGACACTGTGTGACCTCTGATGTGTGACTGAGCGTCTTTCCCCCACTGCAGCCTTTGCAGATGCTGTTCCTGTTGAGCGATGCTCTGCTCTTCCACCAGCCTCTCTAATGGCTGCCTCTTCAGTGAAGACCTCCTTAGCCACACTTTCTAAAGAAGCCTCCCCTCCTCATTATTCAACTTAGCAACTGCTTCCTACACAGCATTCAGAATTTTGTAATTAATTGTTAGTTTACTTGTTTATTTTTAGTCTCCCCTTCTAGACTGTAACCTCCAGTGAGGACAGGGATCTTGTCTTTCCCCTTCACCTCCATTTCATCAGAATCTACAAGTGTCTGGCACATACTAGGTACTCAATAAATAGTTGTCAAATGAATGAATGATAGACAGTACTAAATATTTTGTTAATATCTCAAAAATTGAAGCAAGAGTTGAGTACAGAGGAGTAGAGAAAAATAAAAAGGTAGTTAATTTAATTAGGGCAATGTAAACCTCTAATACAGTTCTCAATTCTGGCTTCACGTTGAATCACTTGGACTTTAAAAAAATATCAACACCTGGGATCCTCTACGGATCAACTTGAACAGGAATCTCTGGGGTTGGTGCCTAAGCACAGGTATTTTTAAGAAGCTCCCGAGGTGACTATAATGTTCAGCCAGGCTTGAGAACCACTGCTCTAACAAAGAAAGGCTATAAGGATTGTGACAACAAGACGAGGGTGAATTTTAGAATAGAAGGCAGGTCTTCTGCCGTCAAATTTAGGGTAAATAAAAATGGTGTGTTCTATTGAATCCTTTCAATGCTTAAAACCAAATCAAGGATGAAATAAGCAGAGATTGATAATAATTGAAAGTTAGTAAGTGAGGTATCTAATGACTGACAGATTTTTTTAAAAAAATGTTATAGTGTAGTACATTTAAATAAGAATTAAAAAGCAGAATTTATTTTTATTTGTTCTATTTTTTAATAAAGACTTTTGCTTTTATTTAAACAAGCACAAAACCATAATTGAGTTAGAAAAAAACATAACGTATTATCTTGGTTCTATCAGCGGCTTATTTTTTGGTTCCTACAGGTCACAACCAGACATCGTTGTGCCCTTAATGTTTGCCAATATAGTCTTTAAGATGAAATATTCTTAAATTTGTCATATCGTGGCATTCACAAAAGTGCCTTCCAACCTAGCAAAGGACATTTCTTTTTTTCCTCTTCCTGCTTTCCTTTCTTTTTCTTTCTCCCTCCCTCCCTCCCTCCCTCTCTCCCTCCCTCCCTCCCTCTCTCCCTCCCTCTCTTTCTTCTCAGGTCATTTTTAGATAATTGTTTAGTGTTTTCAGTGAGCTGATGAGGTTAGGTGAGTGCAGTTCTTCTCATTCCAGAGCTGACCTTGCTCCTCGCTGTCTGCACGTTGCTTCAAGGATGGCAAATCATGTTCCTAAACTCAAGTGCAGCAAGACTATAATTGCTTCTTCTCCCTAATTTATTTAGGAGGCCACACAATTTGCTGTAGCTGTAATCCCTCAGTATTGCAATCTGGGAACAATATAAATGGCTGATGGCAGAGTGGGATTTTCAATTGTTGCTTCTCAGTGATTCACATAATGTGCTGTCATTAGCACTTTGATGTCACATATCATGGTTTCCAGGGCTTATTGGGCCATTTATAAATACCAAATGAAGGTGCTGGGGCTAGTATTGCAGCCTGGTTACTGCCTTAATTGCCTTCACTGGGAAAGCTTGCCAGCATCTTCTCCGGAGGGAAATAAAATGTAATTTTTAGTTTGTCTTTAACCTTTGCAGTCAATTCCTCTCAAGTGAAGGAATCATAGTTTTCCTTTTTTGTTCTTCTCGTTTTCTAGTTAAGTTGCTAGAAAATTATAAAAAGTTAAATTACTTTTACCAAAAAATCTACTTTTCATCCTTTAGTCATCATTGCTTGAATTGATTTCCAGATATCTAAATATCAAATGTATGTCAACTACATATCAAATGTATATTAGGTATCAAATGCATCAAATATATATCAAATACATATCAAATATATATTTGATAACAAATGTTTATTATCTTACCACAGTTATATTCAGGTTATTAATGATAATTATTGTGACTTATAGAATTTTAACAAAGTGACTTTATAAATAATAATAGTGATTAACATTTATTGAGTATTTACTATGTGGTAAAAGATACATATTCATTGGCTCGTTTAATCTTTCCAACAACCCTCTGAGGTAGACACTATTATTGTCTCCATTTTATGAGAGGAAATTGATATTTATTGATGCTTATAAATCCAAGGACATATAGCTAGTAAGTGGTAGAGCTGGTTTTGAAACTCAGGTCAGTCAGATTCCAAAGCCAATACTTTTAAGCAGTACATTCAAATACTTCCCTGTCTCTAACACCAGCACAGTTAGCCCCATTTCACAGAGGAAGAAATGAAGACTCATGTAACTAGAAAATTGTGGTGTGCATTTTGAGCTTGCACCTTCTGATTTTAGGTCTAGAGCGCTTTCTGTTTCCCAAGGGGGCTTGCATCGGCGTGAGCTGTTGCAACTGCTAGTGTTGTTGCCGACATCCTGTGCACACCGCTCAGGCTGATAAATAAGCAAGGGAGAACTCCTAGTAGAAAATCAGAGGAACGTCTACGTGAAAGCATTAGGGGCAAAAGAACTGCCTTCCTGTCAGATAGTGCAGAGCACAGGCTCTGATTTGAGCAGCCAGGGTTTAAAGACACAGAGGAGAAAAGAAGCAAGTCATGTTCCCTGGGCATGCAGCCCAGGCACTTCGGCCACTGACGTGGAGCCAGCCTGAGTCTCAGTGATTGATCCTGCAGCCAAGGATGCCCTTCTCTCAGCAGCCGCAGGTTCCCACAAAGGAAGGCTGCACATGGTGAAATCTTTGTCAGGGCCCCTAATGGGAGCATTGGGTTTCACATCACAGCTACCCCTAAACAGGTACACTCTGCTTCTTTCATCTTCCTGATGGCTCCCACGGGAAAGAAAAGAAAGAGAAAGGCGGCTTCACCAAGAAACAGGTCACAGGCTGGTTTGGCTGGGTTTTGTGCCTCCCCCGCCCTACCACCTCCAGGTCTGTAGCTTTGAAATTCTTTAATTTTCATACACCCTGTGTGGCCACTGGACAGCAATGGGAAAAGTTTTCTTAATTTTTCCTAATCCATCTAACATGATTCACTGGAAAATTAATGCCTCTGTACTTTAAATATACTACTGCTTCTGTTTGGAAGCTCCTCCCCAGACCCCAAACTCTTCTTCCTATGGCTAACTGGCCCTTTTTAAAGATTCAGCTCAGGCATTGTTTCCTCCAGAAAGCCTTCCTTGATGCCCCATGCCTGTCCTCCACCCAGTATGACTTCTGTACTCCTCTTCTAATACACTATAGGGCTTCTGTTACAGTCCCTGCTAACTTGTCTATCTCCCTATCTCTACTGTAAGCTCCTTGAGGGCAGGACAGTATCTCTAGTGTCTAGCATAGTATCTAGCACATAGCATGAATGCAATAAGTGTTTACGAATAAGTGAAACATGAATAATAAGTGAACATTTGCATAGTTATTTAAACACAATCCTTTTGAAATACTCTTTTTTCTTTGAAAAATAGGCCTTCTTTAAGATCTTAAAAGCAATAATGCTGATTGCAGCAATTTTCCATACAAAAAATTCACGTAAGAAAATAAAAACTGCCTGTAATCTTACCACCCAAAGAAAACCACTTTTAACATTTAGATGTAGTCCCCTTCTGTAATTTTCTACATGTATGTATATATACCAAATCAGAATCCTATTTTTATACCTAATTTGCTCAAAGATTGTAACAGTAACTTCTGGAGGTAGAGGTGGCATTTTTATTCCAATTTAAGTGATGGGAAAACTGGAATACCAAGATACACATCTAATTAATGGCAGAGCTAGGACTAGAACTCATGAATCTTACCATAGTTCCAGGCTCCTGCTGTTTCCTATGATGCCTTCTAATTAGGTGGTGTTCTTCTTCTTCTTCTTTTTTTTTTTTTTTTTTTTGAGACAGAGTCTCACTCTGTCGCCCAGGCTGGAGTGCAGTGGCACGATCTCAGCTCACTGCAACCTCCACCTCCAAGATTCAAGTGATTCTCCTGCCTCAGCCTCTCGAGCAGCTAGGACTACAGGTGCCCGCCACCATGCCTGGCTAGTTTTTTGTATTTTTACTAGAGACGGGGTTTCACTATGTTAGCCAGGATGGTCTCAATCCCCTGACCTCGTGATCCGCCCGCCTTGGCCTCCTAAAGTGCTGGGATTACAGGCGTGAGCCATTGTGCCTGGCCTCAGGTGGTGTTCTTGTATCAATCCAGCATCAATGGAACATGGGTTTGTAACTGGGTGTCCTTGCTCTACACAGGGAGAGATTTAAGCCCTGTGTCCACACCATAGCTTGGCAGTGCATACTCGGCATTGTCTCTAACACTTTGGAGGGAAACAAGGATGGAGCATCTAGGATCTTGTCCTAGGATCTTGTGATAGGCTCATCAACTGTGCTAGGCAGGCACCAGTAAGAGTTAGAGTTTCCTTCTGATGGTCAAATGACATCTGAACAGCGATGGCTTGGCTCAGAGCATGTTGCTATGGGAACTGCAACCACAGGTTCAATCTCACCATAGACTAGTGAATTGTACTCCAATCCATGACCAATGACTATACTCCAGAACAATGTGCACAGCAGGCACTCAATAAGTGTGCACTGGGCTGAAATGAATGTATATGATTCATCAGGGAAAGTAGGCAAAAAAGCATGCTGGCAGTAAATTTCCATACCACTGTGCCCACTGTGGAAAAGGCAATCCAATGTGATCTAGCTTTTTATTTTATTCCAAATAGAGGACTAAATTGTAGTCCCACAAACACATATCAGATTATTAGTTCCATAGATGAATTTATGTGCATGTCCCTAGAATGTCAAGCATGAAGCCAGACACAACCGAGGTGTCCATGCTTTTTGAATTGAATTGTGTGAAGACAGCCTGGTGTGGGAGTTAAGAAGATGTCGACTAGTAATTCACCATTCCTTTCCCTGAAAGCTCTGTAAATCAAGCTCTTAAAAAAAGCAGCAAGCTAAATTCCAAAACCCTCTCTGAGGAGAAATGCCCATGACTGGTGGGGTCTGGACTATGTCCACCAAATGTGCAGATCTCTTCTGCACAAACATCGCCTACTCCCAAGGGAGCCCGTGACTGACTGACCAGCTGTGGAGACTCACACGTCCCCATTTTCCCAGTGTTGGGGGGGGCCAGGGGAAGGGAGTGGGAGTCGAGTGATGAAGCATGGCTGAACTAAATATTCTCCTCCCAGGAGAAGGAAAATGTCATAGCAGGAGGTGGGTGGCACTTTTCTGGAGGAATAACCATGAAGAACATGGGGTATATTTGAAAATGATCTTTTCTAAGGACAAGTTTCTCTTCTAAAGAGCTATCCTCATATTCTCTCTTACCTTAGATTGGGGCTGTTGAAATGGTCCTGCCAGAGCTAGGCTAGAATGCCACAAACTGGGATTAAAGTTGACTGGGCAGGGGGAGGGGTAAAATGGGATATGGGTTGAAGAGCCATAAGGCCAGGATGTTCACTTTTCTCAATTTATTCAAAAGCACTAGTTTTGGGAGGCAAAATGCAACTCACTAATCCCCTAAGCGCTTAACAAACTCTCTTGAAGATTTAATCACAATGTAAAATCCACAAGTTTTTATTGGCAGTGTTTAGTTATCAATTGCACAACTCTCTGAAGTGGCAACCAGTACGATTCCCAGGTCTGTCTCCATTACACATTCCAGGGGCCTGCTGGCAATGTGTGTCAGATTGGTGTTCTGGTCTAGCCTTGTAAATTCCTTCCAGGGGAGACTTAGGACACACTCTCCCAGCTGCCAAGTTCTCTACTTATAAGGTGCAGAATTTATTAGTGCAAAGAAAGATAAAAAGAAAGCCTGCTACCTTTTTAAGTGCTTTTACATACAGTTTCTTTATTACAGCTTGGTGTTTCCAGAAATACAGCTGCCCAGATCATTTGAGTCTTTGTGCTGAATCAGTGGAACTTGTTTTCTCTTCCTATGAACTTCTATGAGCTCTGCTCCACCATGTATCAACTGAGGTCTTTTGTGCCATGCTTTTAAAGAAAGTCACTGACAGCAACTCTTATTTGAGGAGGACAAAGCCATGAGGACTGACATCCTTAACTTACACATGGCCATGCAAAGGTCCAAAGAGGGTTGATATGGAATCCAAGTTTGTCCAACTCTGGAAATGAAGCCTGTCTAGTCACCCAAAGACCATCTTTTTCCAGCCTGTTTTCTTCTCTCCAATTTCTCAACATGCCTGTTTTCATTTCCAGAGTCAATTCTAAGGCAATGTTGGCCTCAGACACAGAAAAGACATCAAAGAGGCTACCATAAGAAACAGTGTAGTCCAGTGAAAAGAAAACACAATTTAGAACTGGAAAACTCTGAGTTCCAGTTTTCTTACTACTCGTCTGACCTTGGATAAGTCACTCAATAATGTCACAGAACCTTAGTTTCTCTTTAGCAAAATTAGTATAAATAGTCATATTCATCTCACCAGGTTCTTTTTAGAGCAATTATGACAAATTGCAATTCTCTGATTTATGTTTATTTATTTTCCATTTCTCAGTACAGTTCACTACATTGTAAACTCCAAGAGTTCAGCAACCTTGTCTTTTTGGTTCCCCACAGTGGCCTATTGCCAGGAATAGCAATCAGCACATAGTACATGATCAAGAAGAGTGAATGAAATTTGAATGAGTGATGAAAGGAATAAAGGAAAAAAGGAAAGAAAGGAAAAAGAAGGACAGAGGGAAGTGTTCAGAGCATTGTAGATGCCATTTATGAAAGTGAACTGTACATTGTTAAGTATTATCTGCATCTTTTATAACTAACATTTAATGCGTGAATTATGCCAAGGTGATCTGTTTAAAATGTAAGTTAGATCAGGTTACTTCCCTAATTAGGCCTTCCAGTGGCTTTTCATACTATCTACAGGTCAACTCCTTTCAGCTTACAAAGCCCTAGGTGATATGACTCCTGCCTACCTCATTTCCAACCTCTCCCCCTTCCTCATCATGCCCCGGTCACCCTAGTGTTCTTGTGTTTCCGCAAACGTGCCAAGTTTGTTCCTGCCTCGGAGCTTTTGTGTTAGTTTCTTCCCAGGCCTGGAAAGTTCTTTTGTGAAATCTGCATAGCTGGCTCTTTACTGTCATTGGCTCTTGGCTTACATGTCACCTTCTCAGAGAAGCCTTTCCTGCACATGTACCCTGAAGGGCCCAAGCAGTGCTCTCTTATTTGTTGATTCACTTATCTATTACTAGTCCTCTCCAGTGCCTGATGTTCAAAAAATATTTATTTCTGTGTGCCATTATATTTGTTTAGTGCTTACATTTCATAGATACTTTTCTAATTATTTTATTTCTGCAAAAACAAAACAAAACAATCCTCTATGGTTCCATGCTGAAAACTCTCTTTTACCCCTCTCCACCCCAGTCTCCCACACATGTATCTTGGGAGAGGTACACTAGTCCGGCAAATGTAAGCAATTATGCTAGTTAGTTTTACTCTTTGTGATTTAATTGTACTTTTGGAGTCATGTACACCAAGTGATACAACAATTACTTGGTTGTAATTGAGACGTGGAACTGGTGCTGTGGGTGCTGAGCTGTTCTCTGCTCTGGGCTTGGAAGCTTCCTGGCTTAGGGCTTGGGGAATGGAGGGAGTGGTAGAAATAGGCAGAGAGAGGCAAGTGGTAGGAATGCTCACTGGTTCCAGTTTGGGTTTGTTTATTGTGGGCCCCAGGGCAACAAATAGTTCTGTAGAAAGAGCACTGAACCAAGGCACAGGAACAGGTTCTAGGGCTAGCCCTACATGTCCCACCTCCTTGCCCCTCCCCTAGCTAGCAGTCCCTCAGTTAAATGAGGTGGAATTGGATCATCTCAAGGAGGGATCCCAGCTCTGAAATTCTATGACTTGATGAGAGCAGTCTGATCTTTTGTCATGACCATGACTTCTGTGATAAAGGATAACCCGTGTAATATTTCTGATAAGCGTAGCTTTTCTGGTCCATGGAATTTCTCTGATTGGCCAATAAGGTGACTAGACAAACCCATATTTCTGCTTTTGCCATTCTAGTTTATTTTTCTCTTTCCTTTTCTTTCCTAGATAAGTTGACGCTCTTGGTAAATCCCCTCATTGTCACACGGGGCTCATCATCTAACTGTAATTGCACTTCAGCCACTCCTCAAGAGATGGGTTCCTAGTGTGTCTGATCTTGGATAACACTCCCCCATCTGCTTTCAACATGTTGCATTTGATGTTAACTAATGTCTCCTATTAGCATTAAAATAAAACAATCTGGAAAAATTCACTCTCAAGCAGAGTTCAAACAGGCCACAAGTAGATGGGGAATCTCAACTGCACAAGGATTGTTTTGTTTTTTTTTTTTTTGAGACGGAGTCTCGCTCAGTCGCCCAGGCTGGAGTGCAGTGGCACCATCTCGGCTCACTGCAAGCTCTGCCTCTCGGGTTCATGCCATTCTCCTGCTTCAGCCTCCCAAGTAGCTGGGACCACAGGTGCCCGCCATCACACACAGCTAATTTTTTGTATTTTTAGTGGAGACGGGGTTTCACCATGTTAGCCAGGATGGGCTCGATCTCCTGACCTCGTGATCCACCCGCCTTGGCCTCCCAAAGTGCTGAGATTACAGGCGTGAGCCACCGTGCCCGGCCTGGATTGTTAAAACAATAGTAATAAATATACAAATATATATAAATGAATATATGTATATTGCATACTGCACATACATATGTATGTGTATATATAAAAGTGAGTGAACAGATGTGTGTGTGTGTGTGTGTGTGTGTTGAAGCCAAAAGTCTGTAAAACGGATCAAGGGAACAAAGACAGGAATGTTTCTGTTCAATGAATGAAATTAACTGGTAACAGCAAGAGGAAAAATATTCTCCTAGTATGGAACAAGGCATGATCAAAAGAACTGAATGACATGGAAAAGGGATTGGGAATCTTTATCCCACACTTACTGGTAATGGGTTAAAATTCTGGTCCACGAGGTGATTGTATCCATGGTCAAAAAATGAGTGCCGTATCACGACATCAATGCCCTGATTGGCCAGCATTCCTAAAGTGTTCAACCATCTAAAAGGCAGAGAAAAAGAGCTACATCAATATATTTTTTAAATGGCATATAACAAGCTCTATAGAGACTGGCTACTATATACACATATACACCAATCTCCAGTCACCAAATTTACCTAGTACTTTAAAAAGGGTTATTTTAAGCATTAAGTTCACAGCTGTAATATATTTTAGAGATTATCAAATCCAACCTCTTCATTTGATAGAAAAAGAAACAGAGGTCTAGAGGAGTAAAATGAACTGCCCTTGATCATTAAATAGTTTGTTGTGAATGACTTAACTTTTTATTCCTGAAATACTAACAAATGAACACCCTAGCCATTTGTAAGCCTAATATCCCTCCTGGCCAGAGGACATACAATTACAGAAGAGCGCACATTGTGCATTCCATCCCTCAAACTCCCCTGCTTATACCCTGTCCCTGAATATGTACCTTTAACAGAACTCTAACTCATATACTCCTATGACCTATGCAAATATAGTCTAGTCATTAGCAACCCTCATATATCACTGTCAGTAGTCAATGCAATAATAATTTTCCTTGGCACTATAAGTAACTATTCAGGGATTCAAGTATGCCACCATCACACATATTTTGCAGTGGAGGACCTGCACTGTTCACATACTTATCATCTATCCTACTATGCCAAACACCTATTTTCCAGGGCATGCCATCCTTCAAAAATACTGCCCTCTTAGTTCTTCCAACACTGCTAACTCTGCCTTCATTATTTACACATTCATGCATTCATTTGGGCTTCTCTTTCTCTTCCTAATTCTGAAACTTAGGGAAACTTCTACTTGTAATAATACATAGAATAAATGTGACTTAGAGATTCAGTCTTCTCTATATGAAAGATAAGGCATTTCACAACTTGTCCTAAACATGTGTGTGTCCAGCTTTATCTGTCACCTCTTCCCCATCTTCTCTCACCCTAGACCCCATTTCCCACAGGCTCCAAGACACATGAAACTACTCTTGGCTACCCAAATACACATTGCTTTCTCACACTTACCCAAGTCCTTATACATGTTTTAACTTCTGCTTAGAATTCCCTTCTACTCTTCTTTGAACCTACCCCTTTTCATCTGGCAGATTTCTTCTCATATATTAATCTCCAAATCACGTGTCATTTTATTCTAAACTCTGCTGCCCCAGCCAACAGTGGTACCTTCCTCTGTACTTCCCCAGATCTCTTATTCATACCCTCAGAAAGTCCACAGAAAGAATCACTTAACTTATTTCTCCACCTTTCCTCTGTCAGTTCTGAGTTCATCAAGCATAGACACAATGTCTGAACTTGTACCGCAAACACCCATCACCATTCCTGGCACACCGTAGGTACTCAATACTCTGTTGACTTGAAATCTGTCTGGATAAAATTAGATTCTCGGAACTTTGAGAATCACCATTCAGCACACTGGGGAAAATTACGCATAGTTATGATTTCCTAAATCTGAAGCCATATGGAGCTCCAAACCCGTGACTTGAAGAATTAAGTTTTTTCCTTGCTGGAATAAAGAGCACTGCTAATTTTTATATTGTGAATAAATATTATTCCTATATTTAAATGTTTTTTACATTTACAATTATATTTTATTCTCAAAAAAACTAACAAATATTTACTGACAATTAGAGTTATAAAAATAAAACAAAACAAAAAGCAAAGCAAAACACAAAAGTTTTAAATCAAAAGGGAAATCTGACTGTAATATAGTAGAATCATTTTTGTTGTTGTTCTTCAAATTGGAACATTGTGACCCAGGGAATTGAAATTACTTTTGGAACATGACATGGCTAAGCAAGCTACTTGCCTTCATAATTTTTATTAATTTGGTAATCCTATAAAATCAAGATAACAGGTTTAGCTTTTCCTTTAGCCACTGAGACATACTATGAAATACCTTGTCAAAGGCTGTCCTGTGGTAGAACTATAACATGAATTGTGGGCTAACGCCTCCTAAGTAGTGTTCTTTCTGTATTGAAATGGCACAAATACAATAGGGTCTATATCTAACAAGTATTTTAAAAGCAAATTGTCTTATTCAACTTTCCATCCCTATGCTTGTCAAACGAAGGAAGAAACAAAACAATGAAGAAACACATAATCACATATGTGAGTCCCTCCATCTAGCAGCATCTTCATGTCAATACAGGGCTCTATCTTGGTGTTTTTATATGTGAAAAGATCCTACTTGTTTACTCATTCATTATTTATTCAATAACATTAGTCAATGCTAAATGCTAGGCATTGTTTTCAGAATTGAGAAGATATTAAAAAACGCTTGTGTGACCATGTAAATGCCTGTGTATACATATTTAAAAGAATCATATCAAATGTCTACTTTTGACCTCTACAGAGCTTAGCTTAGTGACCTGCATAGAGTATATACTCAACAAATAAATATCAATTCATAAACCTGATGTTTTTACTAGTGTATAGGAAGATATTTAAGAAATTAAGAATATGCATTCTCCCTGCAAACCTACATCCCTATATGCATATGCAAGATCTGGAGCATTCAAAAATGGCTAGAACCAGAACTACTGCTTTCCCATGGCTTTAGGAATAGAATGGTTAACATGAAAGTTATCTTCATCTTCCTCCTATAATAACAAGACCCCTCAGAGAGGGAAAGCAATGGTCTTCCCATTCTATGCTTAGCTACAGACAGTTGATAAAATGACTGGTATATCTAACCAAAGATGCTACCCTGCCATTATTTTCCACTCCACTAAAGGTGAATATCTACTATGTACCAGACACTATTAGGTGCTTGAGACACAGCAGCATACCAAGAGTATTTGTGGTCCACCAAAGAATCTCAAAGCCCTAGCTGGGAAACTCTACTTTTGAACACTCGGTAGCAGAGAATCCCAATTTATGCATACGTGCATGTATATGTCCTGGTGAACTCAGAGTTACGTGATATATAAACATTTCAAAAAGGCTGGAAAAATGCCGTCTTTTCAATTTCTTAATAGCCTCCTACAGCTTCCTAGAATGCTTTACTGCTCCCCTACTCCCCCCCGCCACGACAGGAAGCAATTTATGCCCCTTGGAGAACTGAACTCAAAGGGCACATTGCTGGGTGCTGTCAGTGGAGTTGAGACCAAATGGGTGACAAAGAGGTAAGAGAGATGGGGAGCAGAATAAACTAGTTTTCATCAGATCTGTGTCAACTAAGCATTGGATATCTGAATTACAGCCAGAATATAAACAACTATGTTGATCTGTGTTCTGCAAAGTGACTGTAGGAATCTATGGCTATTTGGCTGATGCTCATGAAAAGGCAGTTCTCTTTTCCAACTTCCTCCATGAAGGTCTGCAGTATTTCTCATTTCATATCATTCCCTAAAGGGAAGAATGCTCACAAAACCACTCAGTACAACTGGGCTGCTTGCTGGGCCCTGCAGCAGCGTCCTATAGTGAGTGCTGAGCAAATGCCATTCCTCTGCTGATTCCAAGGGGGTCCCTGCAGCATTGACACCCTGGCTTCTCACTCTTTCAACAGGTCTCATATCAAGCCAGTGGAGAGTGGGAGTGTACTTTTGTGGGGTTTTATCTGGGGGGCATGGGGGAGGGACGGAGTCTTGCTCTGTTGCCCAGGCTGGAATGCGGTCTCAGCTCACTGCAACCTCTGCTACCCAGATTCAAGCAATTCTCCCGCCTCAGCCTCCCAAGTAGCTGGGACTACAGGCGCATGCCACCATGCCCGGCTAAGTTTTGTATGTTTAGTAAAGATGGGGTTTCACCATGTTGGCCAGGCTGGTCTCAAACTCCTGACCTCAAGTGATCTGTCCACTTTGGCCTCCCAAAGTGCTGGGATTACAGGCGTGAGCCACGGTGCCTGGCTGGGAGTGTACTTTTGAAAGAAGATTCTTAACCACACTATATCAAAGGTGACTCACTCCACTTCATGCATTTGAACCACGCTTGCTGACATTGTCTGTGCTACACAACGTTAGATGCTGAGGACACAGAAATGGAAGACCCAAGGTATCACTGTGAATTACACTGAATCATTTTCTTCATCTGCGTTTGCCAGAACTCCATCTGTAAAGGCAATCCACTTGACTGGCCTGATTTGTCCTTCATTAATGTATTAAAGAAGCTGCCTCTATGCAGGGGAATGGAAGCTGCATAATTAAGAACAGCTGTTAGTAGCAAAACACATAGCTGAGGGCAAAGCTATGGTTCTTAGGAGGACATTGCTCAGTCAAAAATCCAAGGCCATAGGACTGTACTGGAGCAGGAACAAGTCATTTACTTAGTGATCCTGAGGGGTTTGTCCCTGCCACATGACACTGGCAGGCTAATGAGAGGCCCTTATGCTTCTGGCTTAAGTCATTCTCCAGACGACTGTAGTAGCCTTCAAATTCATTTTCCCATTCCTTCCCAACTCTTGTGACTACCATTGATAAAGTCAAAGTTTTAAAACACAAGTCAGATTCTCCAGATTTTTTTTCTCTCTCTCTGTCTCTCTCCTTCACAATCTTCAGTGGCTTGCTGTGAATATAGAACAAGGCCTCACTTCCTCTACCGGGTTTTTAAGACCTTCTGTAATTTGGTGGTAAACCCTTTCCTGAGTCTCAGTCCTCATTGCATCCTCACAGATAACAAGGCTTTAGTCACATTAGTCATTCTCTGCTCCTCTGTGCCTTTGCTCATAATGTCCCTTGGGCCTAGAAGGCTCTCCTCTGTCATCACCATGACTCCCACCTATAGAAATTAGAGTAATCCTACTATGCTTCACTCAAATGCCACTTCCTCCATGAAGTCCTCCCTGATACTCCCAGTCACAGAAATACTTCATTCCTTTGCATGTCTGTCATTTTTCTTTTGTAGACAGACCATGTGAGGAAGAAAGGCAGGTGGTCTACTGCAGTGGTAAAGAAGCTGTACTCTGGAGCAAACTGCCTGGGTTTGAGTCCAAGCTGTGCCACTAACTAAATGAGTGATCTTGAATAAGTTACTTCACCTCTTTCAGTTTTCTCATCCGTAAATGGGATAATAACAGCATCTATTTCACTAAATTGTTATAAAAGCAGTAGCATCGATTTCATTGGTTGTTAAATTATGAAATATAAATAAAGCACTTCAGACAGCGGTAAGCACCGTATCATTAAAAGTATGATTACTACAGCACTTACCTCCTACAGCTTTACAATGTAGTTATCTCCTATCCCAGTTCCATCAATCATATTTTTTTCTGGAGGGAAAAAACCATGCCTTATTGTTACCTATCTCCCAAGACTATAGTGAAAATTGGCTTAGAAAATGTATGTTGTTTACACTGTGTTTTGAACTTTAGACATTCAATAAAGCTGTTATTACTATAATTATTACTGTTACTACTATTACTATAATCTTTGCTCTGATGCCTGTGCCTGACATTTTAATATCTAGAGAAGGTGTTGATCATTGTTGAATGGTTTAAGACACACATGAATGAATGAAATGAACTTTCAACGGGAAACATGCCTCACCCCTAGGATGGGCAGAATAATCAGCAACACCAGAGATTCACTGTCCTTCCCTCCTGAAAGCCCCTGGGGGTGAACTTGCAGGTGTTACTCACAAGAATCCTGCAGCATAGGAATCGGATAGATTGTTTGTGCCTCCAGCTGAGGTGGTCACCACACCTTCAAGCCAAATCTTCTTTCCTGGAGTGTATGTATTAACCACCTGTTTACACAACAAAAGCAGAAGGGGATAACGAGGTTTTAAAAGCTATTCCCACATGAGAAGAAACACACATTCCCTTAAGGAAGTTGATCTGATTTCCTGTTTTCAGGGGGTCATGATTTGTGCTTTCTTATGATGATGCACCCAGTTCAGTGAGTTGGCATTCACAAACCAAAATGCATTAACATTGACACATATCCACTTAAAGAAATTATCATTTTTCCCTAAGTAAACCCAAGTGATAATGTGACAGAACAAGTGCATACTCTAGGATGTAAACTGACTGCAGTACTTTCCACTAAAAAATATAAATCATATTGTGTTTCCATATCAACAAGCATTGAGAAACAATGCTTTTCAGTCTCTCTTATAGCACATCTATGACACACGTACTCCCTAAAAGCCATGAATGCAACACAAGCATCAAAAGCCACAAATCACAAGAAGGTAGAGAGAATGCTCGTGGGAGATTTATTTTATAATTACTAGTCCAGGTATATTGTAATCACACTTTGAAAATAACTGCAGTAAGGGTAAAAAGAAAAGTCACTGGCCCACAAATGACGCATCCCACACAGGGAATAATTGCATGCCTTCCAAGCAGAAGCAAAACTTCCTGTCGAAAGGTGGCACACTGAAGATTTGAAATGGCCTAGTCTCTGACCCACAAGATGAAGACTGACCAAACTATTCAGATCAGTGTGCAGATGCTTGGGGCTGCAATCGGCACTTAGGAGTAAGATTGTATACTGGGTAGCCCCTAAAAGCAGAACCTGAGTCAAAGGCTTGTTTATAGGTAGTTCACTCAAGAAATAATACCAAGGAGCAGGAATGAGGGACTGGGGGACTGAAATAGGGAAGAAGGGAAAACTAAGACAAGGATGCATTTTCAAATTGACAACCATTGCTGGCAAAAACTCAGTCTCACAGGGATCTTGGTAAGAGCCTTACAGACTGTGTCTCAGAACTGACCCCCAAGGGGATACAAGGGAAAGCATGAGTAGCCTTGTGACCATTAACCCCTTGCCCCTCTATCCCTATTTCATGTGCAGGCCTGAGTGCTGAGCAGATTCTCTGAGTGTTCCTCATCTCTGCCTCAGAGAAGGAAATAAGAAGTGAGGTACTACGTAGTACACTGACACCTAGCTGGCTGCAGCCTGCATGCTGGCCCAGCCCTGATCTCTACAATGATGGCTAGAGTAGGAGGTGGGACTGGGAGGATGCCAGCTATGCACTAATGAGGCTGGATAAAGAAAATAGTGTATTTAGGTCCTATGGCCCCCCAGCTACTCTCCTAGACATACACACCAAAGAAATTCTTCTTCAGGTCTCTAAAGAGGTAAGAATGAGAATTCTTTCTATGTCACTGTAGCAGATGTCCACTGCTAGAAGAATGGAAAAATAAAATGTGGATATACACTATACAATATTATGCAGCAGTTAAAACAATAAAGTCAATGTAAATCCAACATCATGAATAGTCTTTAAAGGTTTAGTGTTAAATTAAAAAAAAACACACTGAGTGAGATTTATGGCACAATATTACTTATAAAATTGCTCATTCACACCTAATAACACTAAATACCCTATAATGACACATGCCTCTTAAGAACATATATCAAACACATAAGGAAAGATTATATAAGAGAGAGGTGAAAATTAAAACAAAAACAAGACCTTTCATGAACTGATGATAATAGTTTGCTGTTAGTTTAGGAGTATTACGTTAATTTAATTCTCTGCACCTGAGGGCCTTCAAAAAGAAAAAATATATGTGCCAAACCCATGGGTACATAGACATCAACAATCAATCATATTCCTCTTTTCATTTCTAGTGAGGTACAGCTCCCTGTCCTCTCTCCCCACATTTGCTAGAGAATTTGCATTATTTGGAACATATTTTGGGTTGGCAAAGTTACTGACCCTTTTCAGAAACAAAGTTGTAAGAAAATTACACAAATTTGAGATTAAAGTGAGTATTATGATCATAAATGGAAGAAAAATCCTGAGAATTAACGGTGGTGGTCAATAGCATGTTGGTAAAGATTAAGTAAAAATTCACTTTTATACACAAAAAAAGAAGAGTCGTTTGAGGATACCACTAGGTAGTCCTCTCACCCCTTTCAATACTGTTCATGCCCAACTCAAGGGAAGCAGGGAATTGTAGGAACAAGAAAGTAAGAAAAATGCCTTAAATAATCAAAAGACACATCCATATGGCCAGATTAAAGGACTACATCTATGATTTCCCTTAAAATATAGTGCTAAAAAAATCTGTGTACATGATAAACTATGCACTTCCTTTATAAGTAACCAGAGCAGAGTAATATATTTGTGTTTTTCTTTTTTTTTGTCTTTGGCTTACAGGATATTTAATGTTTAATTTTGTGCTCTAAGATAGATTTAAAGGCAGTTAGAGAAAGGAGCTTTGGTTAAACAAAACAAAAAGGTAAATACTTTAACATAAATGAACCTTGAAAACATTAAGCTAAGTGAAAGAAGCCAGACACAGAAGGCCGCATATGATATGGTTCTATTTATATGAAATGTTCGGAATAGGCAAATTCATAGAGACAATAAGTAGACTAATGGTTTCCTAGGGTTGAAGAAGAAGAGGAAGTTTAAGATGGGAGGGGGAAAGGAGAGTGATTGCTAATCAGTATGAGGTTTCTTTTGGAGGAGATGAACATGTTCTAAAATTAGATTGTGGAGATGATTTCAAAATTCTGTGACTATATTAAAAACCACTGAATTTCATACTTTCAAAGGGTGAATTTTATGCTATGTGAATTATATCTCAGTAAATAAATACGTGTAAAAGAACACATTAACAAAAGGAGAGGTATAGTCTAAGTAGGCAAATAACCATAATGTGGAAACAAGAATGTACCCTGGAAATTCTGGGTTATGCTACATGCTAGTTGTGACACTTGTAGCAGTTATTATCTTGGACTTCAATATCTTCATCCACATTTAAAGTCATGAATTTGTAGTAGATGAACTCTAAGTTCTTTTTAAATATAAATGTTAAAATGTGTTAGTATTTTATAATGCTAATGTAGATTTCCTTGGTTATCACCCAAAGGTCTAGAGTATCTTTGATTCTGAAATTTAAAACAACAAGTATGGGAAATGAAAAAAAAAGTCAAACACAGCTCAGAGTTGGTCATCTCAGAAACAAAGATCTGGGCTGGAGGAAAACGCTGAGAAAGGTAGAAAAATCCACAGGAGTAAATGAAATTGCCTAGGGAGAATATATAAACATGAGGCTAGAAAGGGCTAAGGATTTCCCATCTAAAAACATTAATGCATTATCAAGGGCATTAACTAATTCATTCAACAAATATTTATTGAGCACCTACTATATGCCAAGCAGAGTTCTAGTGGTGGGTCTATAGCAATGAAGCATAACAAGTTTTTGTTCTTGTTGTCTTACATTTTAGTCAAGGGAAGGAGAATAATAATAAACAAGTAAACAAATAAAAGAAATTTAGATAATAATAAGTGATGGAAGAAAACAAAACAGAGTAACACGGTAGAGAGCAATTTGACAAGAGGGTAAGGTCAGTACTTTAGATAGCGGTCAGAGGGGGCTCATGTGGAAGGTGGTATCTGAACTGAGAACTGAGTGAAGAAGCCAGCCTCTTAATGGATCTAGAAGAACCGCACAGAAAAAGGACCTCAGGTGGAAATAGGTCTGCTGTTTTTAGAACCAAAAGAAGACTATCTGGAGTGTAGAAAGTAAGGGAGTGAAATATTTAAAAATGAGGTCAGAGAAGAAAGGAGTATTTTTATTCTGAGTGTGATGGAAAGCTATTGGAGGGATTTAACCAAGAAAGTGATCTGATCTGACTTATGTAAAGATCCCTGCAGCTGCTATGAGATCATATATACATAATGAAACTGTATCATGATACAGTTATTTGTATATCATTTTAATTGTAAAATGATAAAAACTGTAAAATGATATACAAATTAAAGTTTTATTATTTTATAACCACTTCGAGCTTCAATTTCCTCACATGTAAGCTGGAATAATACCTGATAGGATTGTGTTAAGGATCTTTCCTTGTCAAAGGCCAAAGACACATACACTAGGCCAATCACAGGAAGATCCTGAGAGTTAGTGAAAAGGAGCACAGAACTAGCAGATAAACATTTATGTGGGTCCTTCTACGGTGATGCATGAATTCAGAGGAACTAGTGCCAATTATTCTTACGGTTTGGTGGTAGGATTCTGAACTACCATTTTCGATCCAAGTAAGAAATTCAGGAAATTTCCTAGAAACCTTGAACCATTAGCTCTTTGAAGGCAGGGAATACTTTTATTCACTTTTGTATTTACTTCCTATCAGAATGCCTGGCACAGAGTAAGTGCTTCACAGGAGACTGTGTGTAACACAAAGAAGTTAATGCAATTCCATACCTGCCCTTGCACAAGCTTACAGTAAACTGCTACTCCTTAAGGAAGTCATGTGACCTGATAAAGGGCGACTAAAACCTGATCAAAGAATTGGAAGCAATATGCTGACTGCAAAAACGACCTTAGAGATCAGGAAAAACATAAAATGAAAACCTATTACAACATGAAAGATCTAGAGAAGAGCAACATGCTTATTTGCCAAATCTCAGGATATCAGGCCTGGGGTTTTCTCCTTGATCTGAGAAGGAAAAGGAAAATTGTGCTTTGCTTAGCAGGTAATTTATGTATGGAATCCAATAACCTCAGAAGTGTTAAAGGTCAATTACCATACAAGGTGATTTGGATACCAGAAGGATTTTATGTGTTATCAAGCTCGTTATAATATTCTGATATTAAGAAAAGAAACAATCATGTATTTCCACATTTATCACTTGAGGATGTTTGCTGTAAGTACAATAAGTCTTCACTTAAAGTCATCAATAGGTCCTTGGAAACGGCAACTTTAAGCAAAAGAACGTATAATATAACCAATGTTGCTATAGGCTAAATGATACTAATAAGAATTAAGTTCCTATGACATATTTCTGGTCACAAAAACATCACCGAATTTCTAAATAAAGACCCCAAAACTTTTCATACTAATCACTGAAATAAGTGTGATCTATATACACATTTAAAACACATGAATAGGCCGGGCGTGGTGGCTCACACCTGTAATCCCAGCACTTTGGGAGGCCGAGGTGGGCGGATCTCAAGGTCAAGAGATAGAGACCAGCCTGGCTAACACGGTGAAACCCCGTTTCTACTAAAAATGCAAAAACAAAATTAGCTGGGTGTGGTGGCGGGTGCCTGTAGTTCCAGCTACTTGGGAGCCTGAGGCGGAAGAACTGCGTGAACCTGGGAGGAGGAGCTTGCAGTGAGCCGAGATCGCACCACTACACTCCAGCCTGGGCGACAGAGCGAGACTCCGTCTCAAAAAAAAAAAAGAAAAAGAAAAAAGAAAAAAGATGAATAAAAACAAGTAAGAAAATTACTTACCCAATTTTTGGTGAATCAGTGAGTGGCGGTAGTCATGGAGGTGGGGGGTTAAATCAAGGAATTTGTTTGCAAAGCAAAAAGGAGCACCTCCTACCACCAGGAAGTTCAAAAACAATCACAAATATGACAGACTTGTTGTGTGCTTTAGTGCCACATCGTTTATTGTACATTTGTATAATTATTGTAGACTTTACAAATTTTTATTTTACAATAATTTTTATTCATTCATTCATTTATTTTCCAACCCGCTTATACCAGTTCAGGGTTGAGAGTAGCCAGAGCCTATCTCAGAGGCTCAGAGTGCAAGGTGAGAACCAGCCATGGACAGGTTACCATTCCATTGCAGGGCCACTCATACCCACGCCCATACTCACTTGGACAGGGACCATTTAGACACCCAAGAAACCTAATGCAGTCTACATATTTGCAGGAGTATCCGGAGAAAACCCAAACAGACAGTGGCCCCAGCTGGGAATTGATTTTTTTTCCATCAATATTATAATAAAATGATGTTAAATGAAATGAAATTATTCAAGAACCTACTGTACTTAGTTGGATGGTGGCATGCCCAACTCAGAGGGGTGATTTGTATGAGATATTATTTTTCTTTTTTTTTTTCTCAAGACGGAGTCTCGCTCTGTTGCCCAGGCTGGAGTGCACTGGTGCAATCTCGGCTCACTTGCAAGCTCCCCCTCCTGGGTTCACGCCATTCTCCTGCTTCAGCCTCCTGAGTAGCTGAGACTACAGGTGCCCACCACCACGCCCAGCTAATTTTTTGTATTTTTAGTAGAGATGGGGTTTCACCGTGTTAGCCAGGACGGTCTCAATCTCCTGACGTCGTGATCCGCCCACCTCAGCCTCTCAAAGTGCTGGGATTACAGGCATGAGCCACCGCACCCGGCCGAGATGATTATTTTTCAAAAGGAGTTCAAACTCTAGCTCCTTTAAGTGAGGACTTGATTCCAGAAAACGGTTGGATTTATAAAATACTGTGTCTACAAGACCCTTCAAGGACATAGACTCTGTGTAAATAAAAGTTACGCCTGTAGCCCTACTACTTGGGAGGCTGAGGTAGGAGGATCACTTGAGGCCAGGAGTTTGAGACCAGCCTGGGCAACACAGCTAAATTCCTTGTCTCAAAAAAGAAAAACAAAAAATTAGCCAATCATGGTGGCTTGTGCCTGTAGTCCCAGCTACTCAGGAGGCTGAGGCAGGAGGCAGTGAGTTTTGTTCACACTACTGCACTCCAGCCTGCATGAGAGTCTCTTAAAAAATAAAAAATAAAAAAGTTAATCAGAATTCTCTTCTGACTTGCAGGGAGATTTGAAAGGAAACAATCTAAAATTGAGGAACAGTTAGGGGCATGGACTCTGGAGATGGATTGCCTGCATTTGAATTCTGGTTCTATTATTTACTTACTGCATGACTTTGAATGAGTTGTATTACCTGTCTGTGTTTCAATTTTCTCAGCTGTAAAATCAGAATCATATCTGCCTTAGAGGATTTTATGATATTTAAATTATATAATATTTATAAAGCAGTTGAAGTAGTGTCTGGCATATAGTAAGCACTTAGAGGTGTAAACCAAAATATTACCTAGACCACTCTCCTTGTCCAAGGCACATAAGCTTGTGTTTGAATGAATAACATCAGAGTTGGTTGTTTTTCCTTCAGACGTAGGACTTGTGGTGATAGGTAATAGCCCAGATGCATGCTAAGCAGCAGGAAAGGCCAGTTTAGAATTTAAAATGCACATGGATAACTCACACAAACATAATTATCATTCAGAGTAGTTCATTTATCCATTCTCAGCACAGGGGTAATTCCTGTCAAGCCACATGAACAAATATACACAGTGAGGAACAACTTTGATACAAAAACTAAACCAGTTATATGAAATGTTTTTTGGGGAAATATTTCTAGAAATTATTAATGTTAAAGGTTCTAGGAGTAGTCAGTACAAACCAACAAATATTTTCTGAGTATTTACTGTTTGGGGCACCGTGGGAGGCTTATGAACTCTGTATCTTCCATGAGCAGAGAAGAGCATGATGGTGACATGTAGTGGAGGTACAGACACTGAAGCTGGGTGCTGGTTGGGTCCAGGAAGGAAATCAGCATGGGCAGAAGAGGAGAGAAAAAAATTAGGAGAAACAGATGGAACCAGCTGCAAAATTCCCTTAGAAAGTAAAACTCTAAGAAACTGAGGGCTATAGTTCAACACTGTGGTTTTTTGTAGTAAACATGATTCTCCCTGTGCTAGAAGAGAGAAACTTGGAGTACTTTGGAAAGAAAAAGGGTACAGTTCCTGGTGAGAAATGATGTGCCAATGAAGGTTATTTTAAGGGATACACTGTCTGGGGAGTAAGACGTACAAATGCTGAAATTACTTAAGTGAAGGTAAAGGGAGCTGAGTGGTTGGCTGCCTTTCAGCTGTTCTTCTGTTCCCAAATAGACTTCAATCCTTGGGTGCATGTGGTCAAGGGGGCTTTCAGGTACCCTGAAAATTGCTCAGTAAAGGGCCAGTGGCTGCTCTGAATCCTTGGGCCTGCTAGAGGCAGAGTTGTATAAAGGGAAACCCTTCTAGCTCCATTCCTTCATATTTCAGGGCTGGGGACTATGAGTACTGTTTCATGTGGACATATTGAGGGAGGAATAGGGAGACAGAAAGAGAGGGGAGACTAGAGAAAACAGCCTGGATTTTTTAGTTTATTTTCCCTACCACTTTGAATTAAAAAAAGAAAAAAGAAAAAAAAAACAGTAAAAATAAGAAAATAGCAATTTATGTAGCACATTTTCAAATTTGGGCTTCCTTTTCCTGTGTTTCCTTGATATCCTGCCTCTAAAACTGTGATCTAAGTCCTTTAAAAAGACTCTTGAGAGCCTGGCTTCAGCCACTGGCTGTGTAAGAAATGGTAGCCTTGTAGCAGCAGACATGTTGTTTATGGTTATCCAAACCCAACACCTTCCTTAATGAGAAAGGAAGCAATAAAACAGGAATAGCGGACAGGCCAGCTGGGCTAATCAGCCCTGGCAGGAGGCCCACCCTCCAAATGAAGCTGGAGCCCATTAATTCTAGCATCTCATCTAGTTGGAAATCAACCTTCCCCAGAATTTCACGAAGAACAGTAGCTCTTTAAGTAACCCAAACTGGTCCTCTACAGAGTTGGTTACAAAGAGCTGAATAGCTACAGGAAGCTTCTTAAACCTTACCTACACACAGAGCTCTTCTTAGGGACATCCTTGCCTCTTGTCAGTCTTTGTTCCTTATTGTATTTATAAGTGGTCAAGGCGAGAGCTCTGTGCCCTTCCCATGTTTCTTTCCATCCTTCTTTTGTGTTTTTTGACTCTCCACTTACTTGCTACATTAGAGCAGAGGATATTGACTCTGTCCTCTTCTTCCTCACTGCCCCTCCCTGAGTTCTGGATCTTGTCATTTGTTCCTTGGTCTTACTGCCTCTAATCTTTTCCTCTTCTAGTCCATCCTTCACACTGCTGCTATTTGTTAACTTGACAAATCCCTCTTCAGCTTAAGAACCTTCAGTGGTTCCCTACTGCCAGCAGTGGTACTCAATTATTTGTGCTCAGAGAGGTCTGTTTGATCAGCTGGGAGATGTGCTACAAGCAACTTGTTTCAGATACTATTGAAAACAGTGATTTGGGAATAATTTAGTTCAAAACAAAAAGAGTGGATTCAAAGTTGTCATAACAATATTTCGCCAAAATTCTGAAATGTTTCCTTAACTGGGGAAAAAAAGCTAAGGAGCTAGTAATTGCATATAACCCATAGTCTATTTTATCTATTTGTCCATGGGAGTATTTTAGACACGATAAAATAAAGTTGAGAACCACCGAACCACAGGATAAGATGCTAACTGCTTTATTTAACTTGTTATCTTAGACTTTCACAACCATCCCTTAGCTACCTCTTCCCCCATTGCTCCCCTGTGGGAGGAAGACCTATGGTTCACTACAAAGAAAGGACTCCTACTTTTCAACTACACGAAGCAATCGTTTTTTTTTTTGTTTTTTTTTTTTTTGTTTTTGAGACAGAGTCTCGCTCTGTCACCCAGGCTGGAGTGCAGTGGCGCCATCTTGGCTCACTGCAAGCTCCGCCTCCCAGGTTCACGCCATTCTTCTGCCTCAGCCTCCCCAGTAGCTGGGACTACAGGCGCCCGCCACCACGCCCAACTAATTTTTTGTATTTTTAGTAGAGACGGTGTTTCACCATGTTAGCCAAGATGGTCTCGATCTCCTGACCTCATGATCCGCCCGCCTTGGCCTCCCAAAGTGCTGGGATTACAGGCGTGAGCCACCACGCCCGGCCGTAATAGTTTTTTTACCGATTACCTTTCCCCTGCTCACTTCTCATCCACATTGTTTTGATTTTTTTTTTCAAGCCTATTTCAAATGTTATTTCCTCTGTGAAACTTTCCTCAAAACTTCAGAAAGTTAATTCTTTTATCCTCTGGGTTCCAAAGTTCTTTGGACCTACCTCTGACCTTGACCTTATTATACTGAATTGTAATTTTCTATTTTTTTTCCTTTTTGCATGCCCTATAGAATGCTTGACAATTACTTTGCTTATAAAATACTTATAAATAAATGAGAGAGATAATATTTTACTGATGAGAAAGCTAAGTTTCAGAGAAGATAACTAATAATCTCAGTATCACAAGGGCAAAAACCAAATCCTCACAGTTCCAGTTTAGGGCTCTGTTCACTTTCTAATTCAATTTCCTGTTTGAGGAGACCCACAACTTCTGGTTGGCTAAACTGCCTCCATATTTAACATGTCCTTCTTAGGTTAGACAAGCTGGGCTATTCTGAGCTCAGTCATTCCAGTATCTCATCACATTCCTCTTGATGCATTTCTTCTGTCTAATGTACTTCCTGTCAGTTTCATTAATCTTTTTCTGTATAATTTCTTTTTATCATTGTGTTCTGGAGTGCCATCTTTGCCCATTTTCTTTTGGTATCAGATCAATTTTTAATTTGCGGCTTCTGTTTCTGTGACATTTTTAGGATTTAAAATTCCATTCTCTGCACTTGTTATCTCAAACCACAGAAAAGCAGTTGAATGTAATTGCAACAAAACATAAAATTAAAATAAGGACATACACAAAAAAGATAAAGTCACTGGGGAGGCAAGGACATTATGATCATATGCAAGAAAATGGGAAAGAAAAGTTTCACAGAGCCCAAAGCAATGACTACGTTCAAGGATAAGTGCTAGTGAGAGAGAGATTGGAAAGTAGCCACTTGCACATAAATTACTCTTCGTCTCTTTCCCAGTCCTTTTCTGTGACTAACCAACCCCTACCTACTTACAAGTCATAGGTTCCAGCAGCCTCACTGTTAATTTTACTCTTGCTTAGGACAAACCCTATAATCCTCCCACTTACATGCTGAAACACTGGATGGTCATCCTAAGTTGCCCCTTCCTCCTGAAGAAGCTTTTTGCCCCAAACAGCAATTTGCTTCCAGGGCCATTCCTCCAAATGTCCATGGGTAGCACATACCTTCTTCACATTGTCATTGCCTTGCATATAGCAGGACCTTACTAAACACTGACCAAGAGCCTGTGCATATGAAACATATGAATGGAATCCAGTAGATCAATGCAAATAACCCTCTAAAAAGTCTTGTCGTCTTCCACTATCACTTGCCTAATATCATGATACTCAACTTCATTCATTCATTCAACCCTTACTTCATTCATCCATTCAGTTCATTCAACCCTCACTTCCAGGACACCCACCCTAGATTATTAACTGACTGTGGGGTCAAATTGATGTTCTTTCACCAAGAACATTCATTCAGTATTCTCCTTTGAAAGCCTTCCTAATCCTGGGTGGTTAGGAATATAAATATTACATGGGTTATAAAATAAATAGTTGATAAGTGTGGGCAATACTGAATAGTGTAATGGATAAGAGTGCTGGTTCTAGAGTCAGATGAGCCTCAGTTTGAACTCCAATTTTACTACTTAAAAAGCTCTGTTGGCTTGAGCAAATCACTGGTTTATTTAATAGATTAATAATATATATTGCACTCAATAAATGGCATTTATAACCCAAAAGGTAATATAATTATTATATTTCTGTAAGTTAATGATGCATTTTTCACAATTCAATGCTTTTGAAATCAGGACATTATTCAAAATCAATATCAAATGAAACTTGCCTACTGTTTACCCTCTCCCTTCCCAGTTGTTATTAAATTAATGGTGAATTCTCTAATATTTGTTCTAAGATTCAAGGAAATATTTGTATCTAAGAATCAAGGAAATTAAGGTTCATGGAATGACAATGACTAAAACTTTGGTGTTCTTTGGTGGTAAACATATCTTTCAGGTTAGACTCCCCAACTATAATATTTTTCATGTCTTGTATATGAAGGCCAAGAGTCAAAGTTTCCCTTAGGTCATATTCTCCCATTTGCAGATGCACAGCCAAGTGGGGTCACAGAGGCTAATTTACCGAGAAGTTCATGGAGCTTAAATTTCCAGCTCCCTGCTTTCACAGGCATCTAACAATATCCTAAGAAGGGCTCTGCTAATGTGTTCATATGGTCAAATATTTACATAATTTGCAGATTTCCTTGTTTTATTTTCCTTATAAAGGTCCCCATTGTATAAATGTCAGGCCCCATAAAACTCAGAACACTCATTGATGTTATCCCGAGGTATTAATGTGGTACAGTTTGTATCTGGGGTCCTGTGCCTTCTGAGTACGGGTGACCCTTAAACGACATGGGTTTGAACTGTGCAAGTTCACTTATACATTAATTTACGTCAGTGGAAGTTACACTGGGTGCACGTGCCTCTCCTTTCTGCCCTTCTACCTCCCCCACCTCTTCTGCCTCTGCCATTCCTGAGACAGCAAGACCAACGCCTCCTCTTTCTCCTCCTCATCCTACTCAATGTGAAGACAAAGAGGACAAAGACCTTTATGATGATGATCTGCTTCCACTTAATAAATAGTAAATATATTTTCTCTTTCTTATGATTTTATTTTCTTTCTTTTTATTCCCTTTTTATTTTTGGAAACAGGGTCTTGTTTTGTTGCCCAGGCTGGAGTGCAGTGGCAGGATCCCAGCTCACTGCAGCCTCAACCTCCCTGGGCTCAAGCAATCCTCCCACCTCAGCCTCCCAAGTAGCTAGTATCACAGGCATGTGATACCATGCCCAGCTAATGTTTGTTTTCTTTTTTTGTGTGTGTGTGTAGATATGGGGTTTTGAAATGTTACCCAGGTTGGCCTCGAACTCCTGGCTCAAATGATTCACCTGCTTTGGACTCCCAAAGTGCTGAGATTACAGGTGTGAGCTGCCACGCCCAGCCCATGATTTTCTTAATAACATTTTCTTTCTTCTAGCTTACTTTATTATAAAAATATAGCAGATGATACAGGTAACAGACAAAATATGTTTATCAGTTAGGCTTATGTTATGTTATCAGTGAGTCTTCTGTTATGTTATCAGTAAGGCTTCTGGTCAACAGCAGGCTATTAGCAGTTAAGTTTTGGGGGAGTCAAAAGCTGTAAATGAATTTTCGACTATGCAAGGGAGTCAGCGCCTCTAACCCTCATGTTATTCAAGGGCCAACTGTATTTCCTTGGCGCGTGTTTCTCTTCCCCTCCATCAAAACCTGCTCTTGGGAAAGGATCTTCTATTTACCTTTAAAGCCTTAGTGTGAATTTAAGCCAGTGTAGTCTACCTCTTCCCAGATTGCTTACATTCTTCATCATCATCCTAATGTAGAATGAAAGATTGTTCACTCAAATGAAATGTCTGAAACAAACAGACTGAAATATTATTCGGGGCCACAAAAAGACTTTTCCATCACTCCTAAATAGATACACTGAAGATACTTTCCTACTATGTCTATACATAGGCATAGCTCATAGGGCTGTCTAAACTGATTTCCATCTATTCAACACTACCACAAAGTTAGCAGCAGATAAGTTTCTTCTGCAGTGTGAACAGCAAAGACAGCACATATAAATGTGAATGAGATAAGACATTACTTCTTTTATACTTCAGGTGCTTTATTCTGCTCATTCACCTGCCCCTCGCTTTGTGCATCCTTCCCTCCAACATGTATTGAGCACCTGCTATGTGATAGGCACTGGGACATTGAAATAAGCAGTCAATATTGCCAAATGAATGAGGGAATTAATGAATTAATCAAACAAATACTGATTTTTGTGGTGATACTACTGTTCTTACCCTAGTAATGTGTTTTCATTTTCCAGTTTTCTCCATTAGAGAAGACTAATATTATCATTGTCCTCATGTTTCCTTTAATTGTGCCTCGAGTTATTCTATGGTGCTCAAGAAGAAGTGGGTTTTTGTTTGTTTGTTTTGCTCTTTTCTTCTTATTTACTAAGAGGATCAAATAAGCAGGTAAACTGGAAAGCTGGTTAAAAGCAAGAATTTCTTTTAAAATCTATTAATTACTTCAAAGAAATTACATGTCCTTCTTCCTTACTTCCATGGTCCTGCAACTACAATATATTGGAAGAAGTGGCATAATGTCACTACATTTATTGAGACTTCAAAAGAGTTGATCTTTATTAAATATAAACAGTCATAAGCAATGATAACAAATGAATAATCATGCTCATATGACGAACCATACAAACCATTCCTTTATCCATACATGTCTACCACGAGTGGTTCTCTGATCATACCCTAAGAAGAACTGTATAAATTAGAGAGTCTAACTTTTAGGTGTTAGCCTCAATGTCACTTTCTCTGAGAGGACTTCCCTGATTTCCTTTCCCTCACAAACTAAGGTGGGTACTTCCCACCATGGACTCCTAGAGCACCCTGTAATAGGAATCATAACATCTTATTACTGTTGCTTGCTTAATTATCAGTTTTCCCCACTGGACCATAAAGTCTATGAAGACAAGCATCACGTCAGTCTTGCTCACCATTTTATTCTCAGGGACCTGGAAAATTCTAAGAATGTTACAAATAGTCAATAAATGAAGGAAGGAAGGGAAGAAAGAAGGAAATGAAGGCAAATAGAATGACTACTATAAAGAAGATAGTAAGAAATGCTGTGAGGTATGGAGAAAAGAGAACTGTTACATACTGTTGGTGGGAATGTAAATTTGGACATCCATTATGGAAAACAGTATGGAAGTTCCTCAAAAAGCTAGAAATATAACTACTGTATGATCCAGTAATCCCAGTACAGGGTATGTATCCACAAGAAAATAAGTATGCCAAAGAGATACCTGCACTCTCATGCTCACTGCAGTACTATTCACAATAGTCAAGTTATGAAATCAACCTGTCTCCATCAACAGATGAACGGAGCCAGGTGTGGTGGCTTAGGTATGTAATCCCTGCACTTTGGGTGGCTGGGGCAGGAGAGTCACTTGAGACCAGAAGTTTGAGGCCACCCTGGTCAACACAGCAAGACCTTGTCTCTACAAAAAAATTAAAAAATTAGCCAGGTGTGGTAGCGTGGGCTTGTAGTTTCAGCTACTTGGGAGGCTGAAGCAGGAGGAGCGCTTGAGCCCAGGAATTTAAGGCTGCAGTGAGCTATAATTGCATTACTGCACTCCAGCCTAGGCAAAAGAACAAGACCCCATCTCATGAAAAAAAAAAAAAAAAGAATGGATAAACTGGCATATATATTTGCGGAATACTATTGAGCCATAAAAAAAGAATGGGATCTTGTCATTTGAGGCAACATGAATGAGCCTGGAGGACATTTGTTTAGGTGAAATAAGTGAGGCATAGAAAGATAAATACCACATATGTTCTTGTTCATATGTGGAAGCTAAGAAATTTGATCGCATAAAAGTAGAGAGTAAAACAGTGGTTACTAAAAGCTAGGAAGGGTGGGGAGTGGAGATAGAAGAGGCTGGTGAACAAATCCAAAATTACAGCCAGATAAAAGGAATACATTCTAGTGTATGATAGCACTGTAGGGTGATTATAATTAACATAATTTATTGTACAATTTCTAATGGCTAGAAGATTTCGAATGTTCCCAACACAAAGAAATGATAAATGTTTGAAGTGATAAATGTGTGAATTATCCTGTTTTTTTTTTTGTTTTTTTTTTGAAACAGAGTCTCGCTCTGTTGCCCAGACTGGAGTGCAATGGCGTGGTCTTGGCTCACTGCAACCTCCGCCTCCTGGGTTCAAGTGATTCTCCTGCCTCAGCCACCTGAGTAGCTGGGATTACATGTGCCTGCCACCATGCCCGGCTGATTTTTGTATTTTTAGTAGAGACGGGGTTTCACCATGTTGGCCAGGCTGGTCTCAAACTCCTGACCTCAGGTGATCTGCCTGCCTCAGCCTCCCAAAGTGCTGGGATTACAGGCATGAGCCACTGTGCCCAGCCAAGTTATCCTAGTTTGATCATTACACATTGTATACACGTATTGCAATATCATTCTGTACCCCATAAGTATGTACAATTATTATATGTCAATTAAAAATAATTTTAGGAAAAAGGAAGGAAGAAAGGAAGAAATTTTTCAAATATTGGGGAAGCCAATTGTTGAGTTTAGTTAGTATTCAAAATGCAATAATATGGACAGTACTTTTGGAAACACTTCCTTTATGACTGGGATTTCACCAACTCCTTTCTGTGCTTATTGAATTACTGAAAATAATATCAAAAAGTGTTATTTCCTCTTCTGATTCCTCTAGGAGATGAAGACACAAATCACAGAGTCCAAATGACTTCAGCCAAAGTGGTTCTTCTGGGTTCTTAAGTCATTGTTTTGGAGTCAGCCCAGCTATCCAGACTATACCATCTGCACTGTGTCCTGAACTTTCTCAATTTCCCATCTGACTCTTCCCTGTATTTTTAGATTATCAACTCTTTCCTTTGACTCATCTCCCAATGTACACATGATCATCATCATTCTAATGAAAGGGAAAGAGTGTGTGGATCATCCAAAGGGGTGAGTTGTCCACACACTGCTCAAACATGTCTCTATTTGGCTTTCAAATGCATCATGTAGATTTTCATATAACCAGATAATTCACCCACTGCTCAGAAAACTGAGAATTCTTCTCTAAGTGGCAATCCAAATTTGCAAACCACAGCTGTTTTTAGCAATTGAGTCATTGTCTTTCAGGTGCCAAAAATATCACCTATCATATTCCCCAGAGTTCAAAAAAAAGAGGAAAGAGGAGAAAAAGCAAAGAACAAGTTGAGGATAAAGGTAATGTAAAGCTTCTCTAGTCACAGAAATTATTAAAAATAGCTATAATAACTATAACAACAATAATAATAGCAATAAGAACTAGCATTCAATAACAATGAACAAAACAGGGCTTTCTCACATGACTTTCCTAATCTACCTAAGAGGGAGGGAGAATAGTATCCTTAGCATCTTCATTTTACAAACAAAGAGACAACATCAGAGAAATCAAGTAAGTGACTGGCCCAAAGCCACACAGCTATACTTAAGCCAGGCCATCAGACTTCAAATCCTGGGCCCAATACCCTATTCAAACAGCCTTACCAGTGATTTATCAAGCCACTCCCACATGGCGTCATTTTGGTGAAAAATCTGCCCCTTTTCTACCACTGTGGGCCTAATGGGGTCCTTAGGACTTCACTTCTACAAAGAGAGAAGAAACAAAGTACATTTCTAGCTTTGGGGTGAAGGTTCTAGGTATATAGACAGTAAAACCTTACTTGGAAGGCCAGGCACGGTGGCTCACACTTATAATCCCAGCACTTTGGGAGGCCAAGGCGGGTGGATTGCCTGAGCTCAAGAGTTCAAGACAAGCCTGGACAACATGGTGAAACCCTTGTCTCTGCCAAAAATACAAAAATCAGCCAGTTGTGGTGGCATGAGCCTGTAGTCCCAGCTACCCGGGAAGCTGAGGTGGAAGGATTGCTTGAGCCTGGGAGGCTGAGGTTCAGTGAGCTGAGATCCTGCCACTGCACTCCAACCTGGGTGACAAAGTGAGACCCATCTCAAAAAAAAAAAAAAAAAAAAAAAAAAGGCTGGGTGCAGTGGCTCACGCCTGTAATCCCAGCACTTTGGGAGGCTGAGGCGGGCAGATGACGAGGTCAGGAGATTAAGACCATCCTGGCTAACACGGTGAAACCCCATCTCTACTAAAAATACAAAAAATCAGCCGGGAGTGGTGGCGGGCGCCTGTAGTCCCAGCTACTCGGGAGGCTGCGGCAGGAGAAAGGTGTGAACCCGGGAGGCGGAGCTTGCAGTGAGCTGAGATTGCGCCACTGCACTCCAACCTGGGTGACAGAGCGAGACTCTGTCACAAAAAATTAAAAATTAAAAAAACATAAAACCTAACTTGGCCCATCTCTGAAATGGTTTGAGGAACTTGCAAGAAAGCCATTTGGCTAGTGGGCCCTAGTTTGCACTTTGGACCCTAATTCCCAAGAACCCTCCTCCCCACCCACCAGGGACTTCAGGAACAGTCAAAGCAACATTTCAACAATCAAAGTTTGGGGATCCTTGTCTAGTCTCCTAGCTCTCATGTCCCCAGGGAAGTCCAGTGCTTAGCACACCTTGGGTTGTGGTGAGAGAGACTCTCCTCTTGGAGGCCCTAACGACTGGGTCCAGACTGCTTTAGCCAATGAGAAGTCTATCCAGTGGTTCAAATCTCAGGGAATCTGTTATCCAGCAACACCTCTAGCGTATACTCACTTAAGGTAATATCTGGCAAGAGCTTTGTAAAAGAGAATCAGGGGAAAAAAACAGGGAAATGACTTAAAGCCTACTAAATGAAACAGGGAGGATGAAACTGTGGAAGATCATATTTTCCAAAAATGACTGCAAAAACATTTCTGGTCTTACATGCTTTTCCAGAATCTTGCCACTCCCGCATTGAAAGGAGGAGTTTATTTCTTTTCGCCCTGAAGCTTGGTGGGTCTTGGCGACTACTTCAATGAACAGGATATGGCTAATGTGATGCCATGTGACTTCTGAGGGTAGGTTAGGAAAAGTGATACAGCATCACGTGTCAGAGACGGGAGTGAACAAGCCTTCTGATGGTCCCAGATACTAACCTTTCAGTAATCCCTGCCTTTAGGTCTTTTAGCTCAAGCTTCAGATATCATGGAGCAGAGACAAACCATTCCCTCTGTACCCTTTGAGAATTCCTGACCCATACAATGCATTGGCTTAATAAATGGCTGTTTTATGCTACTAAGTTTTGGGGTAATTTGTTGCACAGCAAGAGATAATCAGAATAGGAGCCCTGGCTTGAGGGGACCCTGGGCATGTTCTGTTTGCAATTGCCAAAAGGTAAGTTCAGACCCTGCTGCTAAGCCTAGCCCTCCCTGCCAGTTGCTTTCTGCATATAGGTCATCTCTCAGGGGCTCTACTGTTCCTCCCAGTGACAGCACTTCCCCTTCCCCTTCTAAGTCCATTAGGTTTGTTTTTAAAGATCTGAATACCAATTGCACGCAGAGTTTTAGCTCTTTTCCTTAAGTTTCTTGGGCCCTGGATAAATCAGGAAGTAAGTTATTTCAGTTTTCAAACTGGTTTATATGGTTAAGGCATATGCAGTGCGGGACGGTAATGGGAAGTGGGGATAAAGGAAAGAACCTAACTTCCAACACCTTTGTCTTAGTTCTAACCTACAGCCACTTGCTATACTTAAATAATAACATGAGCACAGTTAGAACCTTCACTCTCAGTGCCTTGATAGAACTGAATCATTTTACTTCCAACAACAGCCCTTTGATCAAACTCAAGACTGGAAAAGCCAAAACTATAGGAACTTGACTATCTTGTACACTATTGTAATATAAACACTTAGAACAGTTTCTAAATATACTAAGCACTCAATAAATATTTATTGAATGAAGCAATAAACAAATGAATTAATGACAGAAAATTCTTCCCTCCTTCTAGAGGGCAATATGTAATATCAGATTAGCATAATGTGCTTAGAAAGCTAGAGTATTCAATAGGTTAACATTCTATTACATTAGGTAATATGTTTTCAATCTGCTGAAAGTAAGTGTTAAAACTTACTTTACCTTGAGGGCAGAGACCATGTCTTATACCACTTTGTATCCCCAGCATCTGACACTTTGCCTTAGGTACTTGCTAAATGCTCAGTGAATATTTTTCACCAAATGAATATCAAACAGGGACTGGTAGAAATATTTCAAATCATTTAGTTCTCCTAGGCTTTGCCTAGTGGAAGGCAGTGACAGATAAGGGTGCTGGCCAATGCACCTGATCCCTGGAGGGATCAGATTGGGATGTAGTAGTTCAGAAGCTCTGAGGCTTCTCAGCCTATCAAACTCTTGAGAACAAGAGAATTCCAGAGGCTGTTTATAATCTGAGTATGACATTGGGATGAATACAAAAAAGGTCAAGACCTCCACTTTAGCTCTCAAAATTGATGTTCTATGATTTATTCAAATAGGATTTCCTTTCAGAGCTATAAATGAGCTATTCATTTGTCTATTTATTAATTCATCTCATATTTATTGAGGGCCTACCTGTTATAATTTTTCTGCAAAGATTTGTTTAATCCGCTCGAGAAATAGCCAACTATTCAAAGGGTCCCCATTCCCTGGAAAAGAACCTTAACTGGGCAACAAAAGATAATAATATATTTTAGAGGCCCATGGCAATTGTAGATGTAAGATCCTCACAATTTAGAATTAACTAATCCAGTAGTTCAAAATGTGATCCATAATTGGCATTATGGAAAATCACTTGACAGATGATTAAAAATAGAGACCTCTGGGAGCCACTCCAGCCATATTAAATCAGAACAACAGGAGTGAAATTAGAAACTTTAGTGAGCACCACTGGTGATTTTGATAGTACTCAAGTCTGAGAATCACTGACCAAAGGTGTGCTGATAGCACTTACATGCAATTGCTTAATATAATATAGCTTTCCTCTCAATTTTACAAAATTAAGATCTTACTTGGCTAATTCTAAGACACCTAGGAACAGTGTAAATATGGCTCAGAATTGCCAGTGCCCAGACTGGAATTTCACTGAATGAATATAATCATTTTCTCCTTAAAGTAACCTAAAATAAACCCCTCCAAAAAAGAAAATATCAAGTAAATCTATTCTTCCCTTATGAAACTCACAAGAAGCAAACTATAAACAAATACTTCATATTAAAATAGACATGCTTTAGGTCAGGCACAGCGGCTCACACCGGTAATCCCAGCATTTTGAGAGGCTGAGGTGGGTGGATCACTCGAGGTCAGGAATTCAAGACCAGCTTGGCCAGCATGGTGAAACGCCATCTCTGCTAAAAATATAAAAATTGGCTGGGCATGGCAGCTTGTACCTGTAATCTCAGCTACTCGGGAAGCTGAGGCAGGTAAATCGCTTGAACCCAGGAGGCAGAGGTTGCAGTGAGCTGAGATCATGCCACTGCACTCCAGCCTGGGCAACAAAGCAAGCCTCCATCTCAAAAAAAAATTAATTAAAAAAAAAATAGAGACGCTTTAAACCTTGATATGGCACACACAGACCCTTTTCAATTTGAAAAACAATAAATGACAGGCAACAACTGTGATGGGGAGCTTGTGACCATGCCCATCTAGACTGCACTATTTTCCTATTTTTCTACTCTGGTTCCCACAGTGCTGATGCCCAGCTGGGACTTTGTGTCTTTTTCCTTGTCTTACCCCCAGAATCGCTCCTTTTCTTCCCAGGATACTTTTACTCACTTTCTGAATTTTCCTAATCTGGTCAGAGAGTGTGTCTAACAGGCGAGTTTTCAGGAAGTCCATCACCTTGACCACCCGGCCATCAATGTAGCAACTGGAATAAAAATAAAATAAGAATCAGATAAAATCTCAAGCAAGGGATTATAAATACACTTCTCTAGCCCAAGGTCTCTGTTGCCCGAGGAAACAAACCAGGGTTCCACTCGGGCTCTCATATTCTAAAAGGTTTTGAACCTGGGTACTTTTCAAACAAATAATAACCTTTTTATCTTCTCCATTTCCACCACTATTTGTGGGCTAATACTGTTATTTTTTTCAGCTTTTGTCACGTGAAACCCCATTGCTTACTTGCTGGAATTGATGGAAATTCCATAATACAAATTGGATAATGAGGAATACTTTTTTTTCCCCTTGAGAAAGTAATTTAACACCCATCCCATGCCCATCACTAATCCCACCTTAAAGTAATAAAGGTATGTGAGAGGTTTGAAAGAATACTCAATCATTTTAATAAATTTTTCCATATCTTTAAATAAGAAAATAAACACGAAAGCAAAAATCTGACTTAGTGTAGTGAGTGAGTCTCCAGCTCATTCCTGTGGGCGAACACTCTGTAGTCAACCTACTACCAAAATATGCTGTGGTTGCCTACTACCTCCAGAATGAATGAACAAACTAATGATGAATGTACAAAGGTGGAAGGGCCCTCTCCTAAAATAGTAACAACTTGATACTCATTGGTTTTTGTTTTGATTTGGTTTTTCTTAGCTTAAATGAAATATTAAGTTGTTGACACTATGTTGTAAATATTTGACCAAAACAGGCCCATCCAGCTTTGTGGAGATATCCTTTGTGAGACTCTTTGCTGAAGATTAAGCTAAGGCTGACACAGGGTTAGGTGATCTTCGTTACCTCAGACCTTCCCTTACCCCCATCTTGGCAAAGTTCTGAATTCAATCAATTTCTAAATGCTTGTGATTCCTGGGTGCCTTTTCCAATCCACTAAGTTATCCTTGGTTGTTGGCTAATGATAAATTATTTCATTTTTAAGAAGCAGCCACCCATCACTACATATTATAGAACTATGTGAAAATTATTTTCAATGTCAACTTGCCATACCAACATGTGATGTATTGGAATGGTTAATTTTTAAATTTTTGTTTTATTGTAAGGCAGGTACTTTAGTTGAGGTAAGGGTGGTAGATGATCTACCTACTCAGCTTTCCTTTTGGCCTCACTTATGACTTTACAACATTTCCACAGAATCCAGTGCTTAAACCATTGGAATGTTGGAGCAAATTTGGCTTTTAGCCAGAAATATCTGACTTCAAATTCCAGATCTGGTATTAATAACTATATGATCTTGGGCAAGTTACGTAGTCTCTATGGGCCTCAGTTTTTTTATTCTTAAATGGGGGATAATATATCTTCTCCTCAGGCTTGAGAATTAATGAGCTAACAGATGTAAAGTTCCTGGCATACAGTAGGGACTGAACAACTTTTAGTTCTTCCTAATTGTCACCTCACAAAGATGGGATTATAAACAATAGGAGACTGATTAATTAAGTTATGTGTAAATATAGAACACTATAACAGTGGAATTTCTGTGCTGGGGGTACATGTATTTGAAAATTTTTGATGGTTACTTATATCAGGAAATAAAATAATAACATGTCCTTTGCCTCATCCCTTGTATAGATGCCAGACTCAGATCCAATAAACATTTATTATGTGCAACACATAGTGCTGGGCATATCCATGTCCATTATCCTATCTCATAACCTGTTCATAGTAGTACTTCTTCATTAGCACCTCTGATTTTTGGAAAAAGATCAGATACTTAATTAGCACCTCTGATTTTTGAAAAAAAGATCAGATACATGGCATACTACATGAAAGCCAGGCATGTTGAGACAGAGTAGTGTTAAAATTAAAAATAATTTATGCAATGCTAATCTAACACACATTTGAGGACATGAATACTTGCTACTATATTATATGGTGACCAGGAATTTGACAAGTAATGCATTGTAATTATTCTTTTATTATTTAATCAAATATATTACACTTTCCTCTTTTCTCAATTAGTTCCCAGTAACTACATTACACATCAGTATTTATAATTTTTGTTAGCAACACACATAGTTTAATACCTATTGAGATAAAAATTCCAGATGTAATTTTTCAGTAGGTAGGATTTCCTGTGAAGAACCTCCCTAGCCTACCCCAATCTGTGGCCCATGGTTGAGGGTCCCTTCATTCTTTTCCTCCTTCCTTTTCTCAAGTACCCAGAATCTGGAGTTAGAAAACCTTGGTTCAATCCCTTCTTTAAAGTGGGTTTTAAAAAACCCAAATCTACAATATTTTCACAGGGTTGGTGTACTGATCACATAAGCAAAAATGCTGGGCACGGGACCTGTCATATAAAAGCTATTCAATAACCAGATCTACTCTGTTCAGATTACTTAAGGGCCCAAGGCAGCAGAAACTTACACTGAAAGGCCATGGGATGGGATGGGCAGGGGAGCATCCCTCTGGAGGAGAGCATGCTATCCGCTGTAGAACTTGGAGTGAGGAAAGTGTAGAGCAGCAAGAACAGATGCTGGATTCCCAGCAGGTGTGAGGCAGAGGCAGGGATGGAGATGGCTGTGATTATGTTGTAAAAATTTGGAGTTTGAAAAGACCTTACTGGTCAGCTGGCCTAAAGCATGTAAGCTTGCTACAATATCCCTTAGAAGTGATTTTCTGGCTTTGCTTGAACATATCCAGGGACAAGAATTCACTGTCATACACTACTAGGACTGCTTCACTGCATCACAGCTCTAATTGACGAAAAGCTCTTCTGACATGGTGCTGAAATCTGATCCCTGTTACTTCCTCTCAATGGCTAGCATTATATCTTCTTGAACCCAGAAATGGTCCAATTGCTCCTTCATGTGATACATGGGAGATGAAATCCAGCAACCTTGGCTTAAGCAGTTTAGCCTATTCTTGTCCCCAGTTTTACCCTTACAAGCTGTATCCAATCATTCTCAGGTAATCTTGGGCTATTTCCGTGGGCTGTGAATTGGATTGGAGCGGGAGGAGATACAGGCATGGAAACCAATAAATAAAGTTATTTTATCTCAATAGTGCTGGCAAGAAATGATCTGGGTCTAAATAAGGGAGGGAACAAGAAAAGTGAAAGCAAGCAGAGATGAAGGAAGAACAAATAAAGCTTCTGTAGAGGGTAAAAGAGAGGAAGGGAGTCACTGATGACCATCAACATATAAGAGAGATTGCCTTGGAGAACACTGTTGCCAAAGAGATGTAGGTTAGTCATACAGGAATACAATTTGTTTAGAGAGATGAAAGATACTGTCTGACATATCAAAAATATACAGAATATCAAGAAAGAACTATATACCACGTAGCTGGGGATATAAGAAAGAGGTACAGAGAAAAGTTGAGACAAGAAATGTTGACGTGGGGGTCTTTTTCAGGTTGTAAGTAATGGCCAAAGCCATGGCTGCAGATGAACTCTTCAAGAGAATAAGGGAAATTAACAGAGATGTCAGAGACCCTTCAAAATGCTTCTAAAATATGGCCCTGGGCATTGCCTCTACCTTTGACCCAGCTAAGGACCCCTTCCTCCTCTAGCCTGATGATCACAGCATCTTTTTAATAACTTCAGTCTGAGTCCAATTCACATTTGAATGTCAAAGGAATCCTCACATTATACTGAGAAGTTTCAGCAACTTTCATTTGCAAACTTAAACCCACATTTATATTGTACTATGGAAATATGAACTTTGGTCATCCAGAATTCAGTATCACTTTTAAGAGAGGGGATCATTTAACCATAGGGTATGGCCAGGCGTGGTGGCTCAAGCCTGTAATCCCAGCACTTTGGGAGGCTGAGGCGGGCGGATCATGAGGTCAGGAGATCAAGACCATCCTGGCTAACATGGTGAAACCCCGTCTCTACTAAAAATACAATTAGCCGGGGCGTGGTGGGGGGCGCCTGTAGTCCCAGCTACTCCGGAGGCTGAGTCAGGAGAATGGCGTGAACCCGGGAGGCGGAGCTTGCAGTGAGCCGAGATTGTGCCACTGTACCCCAGCCTGGGCAACAGAGCAAGACTAGGTCTCAAAACAAAACAAAAACAAACAAACAAAGAAAAACCCATAGGGTATGAATTTATCAATGCCTAAACCTTTTTCTTAGATATGCTTGGACAACTAACTTACTGTACTTACCCATTGTAAATGTGAAGCTTCTAAGAAAACATTCAGCATCAACAATCCGTGGCTATTTGAAAGCTTCTTCCCAGTTACAGAGCTTTGGTTCACTGATGGTAGTTGCATGTGGTGATAGGTCCAATATAAATATATCATTTATATTTGGGCATGAAGGAGATGGAGTAGTCTGTGGTGACCATTTTATAAGAATAAATTGCTAAAAATGATGATAATGGTGATTTCTTTTTTTCTTTTTTCTTTTTTTTTTTTTAAAAAAACCCTGGCTGAATGGTCTAGAATTACCTAGACTGACACTTTTAGGTATATCATGGTCATCCTCCAAGCTCTCTTGAAATTCAGCATCACTTAAGATCATACCACAAGTCGTCGAGCTGTTCCACTAAAAACCAAAGCCAAGAAAGGCTGTGTAGAAATAACCTTTCTGGGAACTATCACAAAGGTAATGAAGTTGAAACTTTTGTATTAATACATCATCAAAAGGTCTGTCTCACCCAATGCCAGCAATTCATTCCTACCTCTAGATTGGCAGGTCATATCAAGCATATCTCTGGGGAAGTGGCAAAGATAGCAGACTATACAAAGTAAAAGGAACCACTTATCAATGTATTCACCAACTCTCCTGTCCCCCTTAATTTTACATTTTAGTTCCAGTACAATAATCTTCATCTTATTTTATTTGGTGTTGCCCTTTATTTTTATTACAAAAGAACTAAATGCTCATTGTAGACGAATTAGAGAATGAACATGAACAAAATAGAAATAGGAAAATGGAAAATCACCTACAGTATAATAAGCACAACACCTAGAGAAGCTCATTGCAACATTTTGCTGCATACTCTTCCAGTTTTTCATAGTAAATAAACATAAAATTTCCCCTAATTAGTTTTTTAATAAACCTGTACTCCAGATCCTATTCAACTAGCATTTAAACTTAAAATTGCTCCAAATGAGACATCCAAGCCCATCTCACAGGGATACTGTTAGCAAGATTACAGACTCCCAGTCAAAGCATCTTACTCTTATTTTAATTTCATTCTGGCCATTTAGAGGTCCTCTGCCAGGAGCAGAGCTCACCTCCTTCCTGTCTCTGTCAGCCAAGTTTTAACCCCATTCCCGTCCCACTGACCCCCTTCATCAGGCCCCTAGATTCAGTCTTCAGGATTGTACTACAATTAGCCACTTATGCCCATTAGGCTTTTAAAACATTTAATGAGGAGAGTTTGTTGGCTCCAGGGGCAGCTGGTTTTGTTTACCTGGCCCTTTACTTTAAAAAGAAAAACCTTTGCCCTTTATTATCTGACCCCTTCTTTTATTTCAGGTAATTGCATTAGTGCGGGCTTCCCAGTGCTCAGGAATTTCCGGACTTATTTTGCTCCCTGCTAGTTTCAAGGAGGAGGGGCAGCCTGCTCAGAATTCTAACACCCAGCCTGCTGACTGGGCAGGTAATTCCAGAAAATTGGAGCCTTCCCTACTGAAGGGGGAGAAGCTTGGATAATCATTAGAAAAACCCTGTTCACCTATAAAACCTATTCTGCCGCCTCGAAGCAAACACTGGAGAAAGGCTGATTTGAGTATTTAGGCTTTATAAATTGCACTTGCCCCTCCTCCAAAGGCCCTCAGCCTGGGCTCCTGCTGAGCACTTGCCATTAAGCTTTTCTTCTGAGGCTACATTAGTTTTCATCTTCTTTGCAATGGGTCAACCTTCTTATCTTGTGTTTCAGAACTGCTTTGGGCAGGAACGCTTAGATGAAATGAACACTGTTACAAAAAAAGGTTCTACAGAATACAGATGTTTCTTTGGCTTTCTTAAACCAGTTCAAATAATTCCATTCAGGAATCATCTAACCTACTAAAGGGACATAGTTCAGTAAGAAAGAGTTTGTACTGTGGAAAAATGTTATAGAAAAATAGTACAGGTAAAGGTCAGAGTTGTGAGCAATACTAAAGGCAAATAATGTCTTTAATGAAAGAATGAGTGCCTGTATGACTTAACCCATAATGAGCCAACCGAGGCTCAAGTGCCATGCCAAGGGCTCCATTTTCTGCATCTTCTTGCTCTCCTAACTCTTTGCACACTTTGGGTCCTGCGCCTCAAGCCCAGACCCTTTTCCCCATATATCCAGAGTTGTATGTGGAGAGGCACTGAGTGTGGGCAGAGGCTCAAATCATCTTGATCCTAGCGGTGTTAAGGAGAGGTGTACAGGAAGCTGGGAAAGGAAAGAGGTAGGGAAATCATATGCAGCTTCAGCCATTGGAGCAGGCTCTAGGGAGGGACCTCTAAAAATTTTCAGAATAGTAGCAGGTGATGGCACCAGAATTGTGGGCAGAAGTGGATCCATGTGCTTTTGGTCTGAAACTTAACACAAGTTGTGGGGCCCTCTTTAAGAGGAGGAAATCAAAAGTACAAAACAAGGCTGGGCACAGTGGCTCATGCCTGTGGTCTCAGCACTTTGGGAGACCAAAGTGGAAGGATCTCCTGAGGCCAAGAGTTTGAGACCAGCTTGGGCAACATAGCGAGACCCTCGTCTCTACAAAAAATAAAAAAATTAGCTGGGTGTAGTGGTACAGGAGGATCACTTGAGCCACAGAATTCGAGGTTACAGTGAGCTATTATGGCACCAGTACTCAGCCTGGGTGACAGAACGAGACTCTCTAAAAAAAAAATTAGAAAGCATTTTTTAAACTACAAAACACATAATAGATACAAAAGTAAGTATTTATATCAAATGACAAAATAAATCACAACAAACTCCCAGAAACTTAGAGAATCAAGTTCCTTTCTTCTGAGAGCTCTTCAAGCAATTTACTAGAAATGTTTACATAATGCTTCCTCATAGCAACCTGCCCCCATTCCCTTACCCCTTACCACCTAGAACATCCTACAACTCTCAGCACTCATAGGAATCAATGCAAGAGAGGGGTCTGAAGCTTAATTCATTAGCTTCATGGTAAATCTAAATTGTGAGGCATTAATAACAGGAATGATAGGGTCTATCTAAGTTGCCAGAACCCAACCATCTATGTGCAGTATTTTAAAAAACTCAGTGTTTGTAAATTGGGGGTTGCTTATACTGTTGCCACATCCTTCCCCTGGCCTCTTTTCATGTAATTGTCATTGTTCGTGGCAGAATAGCACAACTGAACTATAATTAAGTTAGTATATTACTAACTAGGAGAAAATAGAAAGGAGAAAGAGGAAGGGAGGAGTCTTACATATATTAAGTTCCTTCTTATTTGCTAGCTATTTTACATATAGTGTCATTTAATCTTCATGAACACTCTCTATTTTGCAGATTAGAAACTACAGCTCACACGGTATTAGTAAGTAGGAAACCAGAGATCATATAGGTACTAAGTAACAGACACCAAAACCTTTTCCCTTTGTACTTTGATCTGCCAAGTGTCCCAACAATACAGCACCATGCTTATTTCATTGGTCCTGTAATCAAGTAAAATTGTTTTTCAACTGCCTTTAGTCTTGCTTACTTCAACCAAATCTAAACAATATTGAACTAAGTGCAAATTTCTCAAGAAAACAAAACAATTACCACAAAACCAACCCAAAACAGTAACAAAAGCAAAAACCGGGGTAGATAAGTAAAAGCATGGAGGTGGTAAAACTCTATTCTTTTCTTTGCAAAAAAGTTTTTCAAAGTGTTTTAGTAATTGTTATATAAAGAAAAAGGGGCTCCATGGTCAAATAAGTTTAGGAAATGCTGGGTTAAAACCAAATTCAGTAGTACTTCCTGTTTCAGCCATGATAGAACTGAACAGCAACCAATTCAGGCTGCGATTCTTGAGAGATGGTAGGGCACCTGAGGTGAACTTCAGATCCCATTCACCTGAGCTTGCTCCTGGGGACAGGGTAAAGATAGTTTACTGACTACCAAAATTTGAGCTTCCCTTCCATAGTGCTGAGCTGTTGCCAAGAAGCAGCTGCCCAGGCAGAACCTACATTTCTTTGCCCCTCTTACATGGTAGAGGCAGGGGAATGCCAAAACGATGTGAGCAGAAATAATGTGACACTTCAGGGCTAAAGTAGATGTAGGTGTTTTTCACTTTTGAGCAGAAATTAAGAAGCCATGTCTTCTTAGTAGTGTCTGTCCCCATTGCCAGCTGAATGGAAAAGTCTCTGAGGAAAAGCCACAAAATGGTAAATACCTGGGTCCTGGAATGGCCACATGTGAGGCCATCCCCAAGGTACATCAGCATTGGACTGTCACGTTAGTGAGAAGCAAACTTCTATTGCCAGGCCACTGAAATGTGGGGATTTAATTGTTAAAACAATTTGTGTTATATTAACTAATATATGGGCATTCATTACAACAAAACACCTTTATACCAATCAATCTGTTTGACCAACAGTTCATAATAGAAGAGGTTTTCCTTTGAGAAGAAACTGTCCTTGTATGAAAATTAAAAAGATTAGCCTGGAGAACTTACTTACAATTCTAGTTTGAATTGATTGAGTGTCTACCAGTGATTGGTTGAATAATAACTTTCATTCTAATCCCATGCAAGAACAGTTGATGAGGGGAGATATTATTCTTATTTTTCTATATTTAGACATACTGAGCCTGGTGTAAAAACACAGTGACCAAGGTGATTACTAATGACCAAAAAGGACATGGAATCTAGAATGTTGGAAGGGAGGCCAGTTAATAAAGGTCACATATCAGTAGGAGGCAGCATTTTGATGACATAGAATATTCTCCATTAGGCTTCTAGCTACCTTAGTTTTCACTCAGGGACAGCCAATAGTTTGAGGTAGATTTATTGAGACATTCTCATTATTTGGTATCTCACTGAGGATATGAAATCACATGTCCTAACTTGCATGCATCACAAAAGCTAGAGGTTCAACTCTAGCCTGCATGATGTTTCTTATGTCCAGACAACCCAACACACACATCAAACTGCTTTTCTACCTACACTCACCAACACCCTGTATATTTTAGTTCCTGTACCTAACTTTTACAGTCAGCAAATTCAATGTCATAGAGCTATACCTTCTTAAAGGATGCTCACTGTGGAGAATATTGCACTGAAAGGAAATCTTACCTCACTATGATTCTTTTTATGACAATTGTCACTTCTCTGTTTAAAAAGAAAAGTTAGCTCTCACCATATAAAGCCTTTAAAGGCATTATTTACCATGATATATGTGTGTGCATACAAGCATGTGTGTAGATGTGTGTTAAAAGAAACAGAAAGAGATTGAGAGGGAGAGACAGTCAGTTCTATATGATGCAAATCACATCAGGACCAGGAAATAAAATTTAAGTTCCTTGAACTAGTGCTCAGAATATATAATATTTGAAACTGATAGATGACTCAGTTAAATTTATTCAGCTAATAGGAATTCTAATGTCATAATTCTAAGGTAAAATTTCACATGTCCCTCCGTAACAAAATGTTTCTTTACCATCCTTTCTTTTAAAAAATTTCAAGGAATTTTAAGAAACGGTACCCTAAAATATCGTATTTTTTTTCCCTCCAATCTCCTACAAATTCACTTTGGTTATCTAACCAAAAAGAGTCTGAGAATTAGGGAAATATCAGCATGTTATCTTCTTCTCTGTGATTGAGGAAAGATTTGGTTTGAACACAAAGAGAAAGAAAGATGACTGCTATCATTTTGAAGTCATGTTAAGTAGAAGGGTAGATCCCCTTTAAAGAACTAGTTCCTTTTTTTTTTTTTTCTTGAGATGGAGTCTCGCTCTGTCACCCAGGCTGGAGTGCAGTGGTGTGATTTTGGCTCACTGCAACCTCCGCCTACTGGGTTCAAGCAATTCTCTGCCTCAGCCTCCCGAGTGGCTGGGATTACAGGCACCTGCAACCATGCCTGGCCGATTTTTGTATTTTTGGTAGAGACAGGTTTCACCATGTTGGTCAGGCTGGTCTCAAACTCCTGACCTCAGGTGATCCACCTGCCTCGGCTTCCCAAAGTGCTGGGATTACATGTGTGAGCCACCACGCTCGGCCAGAAATAGTTCCATTTTTAAAAGTTAAAGACAGAAATAAAAAGCAACTGCTCCTTGAAAGAAACAATGATAGTTCACTTTCTAAATTAAGATCAAAAAAGGTAAAATTTCATTTAATATATTCTCATCACATATTTTAGACAATTAAAGTAGAAGCAAGTATATACACAGAACAAAAGGAAAATAGGGAATAGGAAGGTAAGAGCCAGATGAGGAAGGAAACACCAACATAGTGCATTGGGGATCTTTTGGTTCCCCCAAGCCAACTCATCGTCTCTGCCTCTGTTCTTTACATCTGTGTATCCTACTAAGCCTCATGATTCAACAACCAGTCCCACATATACCCTTTCAGCCATCTGCTTTTTTCAATCACCAAGTCCCTAAAGTGACCTCCCATGATTCACTAGCTTTATACCACCACTTGTCCAATCCTACCTTGGTCAGTGAAACACAACAGAGCAGTTTTTACCCCCTGCCCATTCCCAATCTCCCACTATCTAGCACCTACTCCAAATCCCCTGAGTTCTGTCACTTGAGTGGCAAACCAAGGCTTAACCTCCACTTCCATTCTCCAGGCAGTGCAACCCTTCTTGGCAAAACTACAAGGTCTACATGACTGGTCTTTGGAGACCTTCATCTGTTCAGCCTTCTCCACACAAAGCCTAGGCTTAATTAAATGGTATCTTGGCTAAAATGTGACATGGACTCTTTCTCTCTTACCCAGTGGTTATTAATCCTGTCTGAATTTGCATTAACTAAGATAATAATTATTCAAACAAAATTTTTACCTACTAGATAGCAATCTGGACAAGGAGCTAGGAGAGCTGGTTTTCCAATCATTAGTCTTGTCACCTTAAGCAAGTCACTTAGCTTCTTTTGTCTTCTTTCATCTACCTAGGTTTTTAAGCCTAGATCAAGGATGGCTAATAACTAATTGGATTCTACCAGTTTTTGCCTCACATATTTTGACACTCTGTTGTTAGATGCATACATGTTTAGGATAATTCTTGGAGAATTAATCTATATATCATTATGTAATGGTGCTCTTTATCCCTGTTAATTGTCCTTGTTCTGAGGTCTGCTTTGTCTGAAACATAGCTGCTTCAGCCATCCTTTGATTTGTGTGTGCATGGTGTACTTCTCTCTTTACTTTTAACCTATCTGAGTCTTTATGTTTAAATTGGGTTTATTGTAGGCAACATATGGTTAAGTTTGTTTTTATATCCTCCCTGACAATCTTTGTCTTTTAATTGGTATATTTAGGCTATTCACATTTAGAATGATGATTGATATAGTTAGGATTAATATCTATTATGCTCTAAGTGTTTTCTATTCCTTGTATCTGTTTTTTTTTTAATCTCTTCTTTTTTTGTTTTCTCTGGTTTTAATTGAGCATTTTATATAATTACATTTTATCTCCTCTCTTAGTATACTATTATATTTCTTTCTAAAACATTTTATGTGGTTGCCCTAGAATTTCCAATATACATTTTTAATGAATCTCGGTGTATCTTCAAATAACCCCATACTGCTTCATATGCAGTACAGGTAATAATAGAGTATCCTAAATTTATCCCACCCTTCATTTCTATCATTCATTTCCCTTATATATATGCTATAATAACCCAGTACATTGTGGCTATTATTACTTTAAACAGTTATCTTTTAGACAAATTAAAATAAGGAAAATAAAATTTTTATTTTACCTTCATTTATTCCTTCCCTGACACTCTTCCTTTCCTTTTGTAGACTTGCATTTCTGATCTATATCACATTCTTTCTACCTGAAAAGCTTCTATCAATCTCTCATGCAGGGAAAGTCTGCTGGTGATAAATTCCCTCAGTTTTTGTTTGTCTGAGAAAGTCTTTATTTCTCTTTCACTTTTCATGGATAAAGAACTCTAGTTTTTTTTTTTTCAACATTTTAATGATTTCACTCCACTATTTTCATGCTTGCATTGTTTCTTATGATACTTCAGATCCTTGTTCACATTGCTTCATATCAATGCACTTCATTGCCTTGTTCCTCTTTAGGTAAGGTATTGTTTTCCTATTGTTTTTCAAGATTTTCTCTTTTTTCTTTAGTTCTATAATATGCCTGGTTGTAGTTTTCTTGGAATTTATCCTGCTCAGTGTTCCCTGAGCTTCCTGGATCTGTGGTCTTACAGCTGTCATTAATTTCAGAAAGTTCTCTGCTATTATTACTTCAACACTTGAATTACTTCAAGCCATTATTTTCCATTATTCTTCTGCTCTGTTTTCTCCTTCTTCTCCTTCTGCTATTCTAATTATGTGTACATTACACATTTTGAAATTGTCGCACATTTCTTGGCTATTCTGTTGTTTTCATTCTTTTACCTTTCTGAATTTCAGTTTGGGCAATTTCTATTGACCTATCCTCAAGCTCACCAATTCTTTCATCAGCTGTATCCAGTCTACTGATGAGCCTACTAAAGGCATTCTTCATTTTTGTGACAATGTTTTTTATTTCTATCATTTCCTTTTGATTCCATTGTAGTTTCTATCTCTCTACTTATATTAACCATGTATTTTTGCATGTTGTCTACTTCCATTAGAGCACTTAATGTATTAATCATAGTTAAATTCTCCATCTAGTAATTCTAATAACTATGTCATATATAAGACTGGTTCTGATACTTTGTTCAGACTGTGTTTTTTCTTGCTTTTGGCTTACTTTCTAATTTTTTTTGTTGAAAACTGACATGCTGAATTAGGTAATAGGAACTGAGGAAAAAGACCTTTGGCGTGAGGTTTTGGGCGAGGAGTTGGACTGTGTTTGCTATATCAGTAGATGCCAGAGGCTTCAAAGCCCCCTAGTATCCTTGTTTATGCCTCTTTTCTTCACTTTAGGCTTTCCTAGTTACTCCTCTTCAGAGAGAATTTGTGTCTGGTGAACTCTATCAGTTGTATTCACTGTTACTGTGCTGCTGGTGTGGCAGTAAGTTGTGGGAGAAGGGAAGTGTTCTGTAACTTTATGGTTAAATCTCAGTCTTTTAGTGGACCTGTGTCCCTGGGCTATGATCTTCACCTTTTTTTCCCAGTAGCATAGCTTTCCCCCTGTATGTAAGACGGAAAGGCTAGAGGGGGCTAGAGTGTGGGGAATGCCCTTTCTCATCTGGGATAAGGCTTGGAGAGTTGGCTTTTTTTTTTTATGGAAAATGCTATGGTCATATTTCACAATGATTTACTCTCTCTCTCTGACACAGTTACTAGGAAACCTTTTTTGGATCCCACAAAAGTGTGGAGCCAAAGACTGCAGCTCCCAGGTTTTTAAGCTCAAATTAGTTCATACGAATTCTCCAGCAATTCATGGGAATTACCACTTAAGTGCTGATACCAGCTTATGGCTTCAGCAGTTTCTGCTCTTATTAAGCAAATTTTGGTGGTAACTGTGGATTCACCTGTCTCTCCAGATTTCAGGGTGGTGTTTGCTCTGCAACATCAATTCTCTGATGCATTCAAGAAAAGTCATTGATTGTCAGTTTGTTTAGCTTTTGCTTGTATGAAATTTCAGCTTTTTCTTGTATAAATAGGAAGTAACAACTTCCTATTTTCATGTTTGAGGTGAAACCAGAAGTCCACTGATGGAATTCTCATCATGCATGTCAACACTGACCTTTTGCAGTTGTGCTGGGAAATACCCTTAATCTCCACTTTGTATTGTCAATTAGTAGGTTAATATGATCAATTACTTTGGTCTGCCATGGTTATGAGAGTAAGGAATAAAGGCACATGTGATACACATGTGTCATTTTGATCAAGATGCTTTCTAAGGCCCTTTCCAGATCCAAGACTCAAGGTCTCCTCTTTGACACAGTGAAATGATACCATAGGGTGTCCCCTCAACACATATGAAGGTACTATATTTCAGTCAGTGAAACTGCATTGTGTAGAATGTTGTCCAACAGATGTGAACAGGATAAAATCCAACATGTGAGAAAAGCAAAACAAAATGACTTTCCTAAAGGTTTCACATTAGTTTCCTATTTGAGTTTTTTTTTTTTTTTTTTAATTGAGACAGAGTCTTGCTCTGTTGCCCAGGCTGGAGCGCAATGGCGCAATCTCAGCTCACTGCAACTGCTACCTCCCAGGTTTAAGCGATTTTCCTTCCTCACCTCCTGAGTAGCTGGGACTACAGGCGCATCCCACCACACCCGGCTAATGCTTTGTAATTTTAGTACAGATGGGGTTTCACTGTGTTAGCCAGGATGGTCTCAATCTCCTGACCTCGTGATCCACTTGCCTCAGCCTCCCAAAGTGCTGGGATTACAGGTGTGAGCCACCATGCCCAGCCTTGAGTTTGATTTTCTACACTTTCATTTATACATGAGATTGATAAATCATTGCTGTTTTGCACTGTCCCTATGCATGCCTCTTCCTTAATGTGGGTTGTGCTTCTATGCCTTTGAGAGAATAAGACAGACAAAGAGCATTTCTATTATACCAGATATCAGCATCCATGTCATCACATAATTGACTTTTTTATGAGGACCCACCATAAGAATTTATATCAAGGCTTAGTATCAGGAAAATGATGCTTCTCATGAAAACTTACTTTAATTTCTTACTTATAGACACTAGATTTTGTTTTCCACTTTGCTTTGGCCATTATGAAACATAGAGTCAAACTTATACCCCATCTCTCACAAGAGAATAGAATCAGCTGATAGGTTTTTTTTTTTTTTTTTGGGATGGAGTTTCGCTCCTGTTGCCCAGCCTGGAGTGCAGTGGCCTGATTTTGGCTCACTGCAACCTCCGTCTCCCGGATTCAAGTGATTCTCCTGCCTCAGCCTCCTGAGTAGCTGGGATTATAGGCACCCGCCACCACATCCGGCTAATTTTTGGTATTTTTGGTAGAGACATGGTTTCACCATATTGGCCAGGCTGGTCTTGAACTCCTGACCTCAGCTGATCCACCCATCTTGGCTTCCTAAAGTGCTGAGATTACAGGCATGAGCCACCATGCCTGGCCTGATGGGCATTTTTTAGAGTACTAATTTTCTCATCACTTTATTGCTACTCTAACCCTATTTTCCATTTACTCTTCCTTCCTCAGTTTTTAAAAAATAATGTTGCTATTGGACAGCAAAGTAACCAGAAGAGAGGTTGAGAGAAGCTGTGCAAAAAAAAAAAGCATTCAATAATTCCCAAACTATATACTTAGCCCTTATTTATACAAAGCAATGCAAAGACCTTCAGTTTCGTATCCTGCTTATGTTCCTTCCCTCTTTCCTCCAAAATCCTTTTTTTTTGTTTGTTTTGTTTTGTTACCACTCTGTTACCCAGGCTGGAGTGCAGTGGTGTGATCTCGGCTCACTGCAAACTCTACCTCCTGGTTCATGCAATTCTTGTGCTTCAACACCCCCCGCCCCAGTAGCTGGGATTATAGGTGCACGCCACCACGCCCAGATAATTTTTGTATTTTTAGTAGAGATGGGGTTTTACCATGTTGACTGGGCTGGTCTCGAACTCTTGACCTCAAACAATCTGCTTGCCTTGCTCTCCCAGAGTGCTGGGATTACAGGCGTGAGCCACCATGCCCGGCCCCAAATCCATTTTTTATATTATAAGATATTGGGAAAGATTCAGTAAGCTCTGTTCTCTTATTAAGTTTAAAAACACTCTTTGTCAGATAAAATACTGTATTTGGTATAATACAGTTTAAGGTTGAATCACAAAGACATTAACTTTAGTCTGCTGTAAATAGATTTCCCTTTCTGATAATTCTTAGATATGTTTATGTTTTCCTGGGGCTGGAATTGACCATCTTAAGTGGCACCAATAGTTGGTAAGGTTGAAAAATTAATATAATCAGGACTACCTGGTATTTTTAGGACATATTTTCTCAAAGATCACAGAGTACTTCGCAGATAACAAACTTAAGGGATTTTTTGGAATGAGAACAGACGAAGTTTTGTTTTTTCTCTTCCTTCATAATGAAGAAGAAAGTCTGGGACTTCACTGCAGGGCACATTCCATCAGAGTGTATATGGTTTGAGGGTGGGGAGGATCAGAAAAGTGGAGGCAGTTTTGGGGTTATAGGGTAAAGTATGGGCCTAAACGATACGATGAAGGACTATCGCCATGCCCGGGGTACACAGACTTTTTCTGGAAAGGGCTAGATAACAAGTAATTTAGGCCTTGGGAGCTAGATGTTCCCTGTACTCAACTCTGCTATGGCTATATCAAAGCAATTTATAATTCATAAATGAATGAGCATAGCTGTGTTCTAAGAAAATTTTATTTGTGAATACTAGAATTTGAATTTCATATATTAATAATTTTCACATCACAAGGTGTTATTTTTGTTTTTGTTTCAACCATTTGCAAAGACATAAAGCATGTTGTTAGGCCCACTGGCCATACAAAAACCCATGATGGGCAGGATTGGTAAATATCTTCTCTCAGTTCGTGACTTGATTTATCACTATCATTGATTGAAATAAAATCCAATTAATCAATCTTTTTTTTTTTTAGGGTTGGTGAGCTTTATGTCCTATTTAAGAAATCTTTGCCTACCCTAAGGTCATAAGAGTATTTTATGCTTTCTTCCGAAGCTTCAGTGTTTTCCCTTTCACACAATACTTTTATATATGATGTAAGGTATGGATTAAGCAAAAATCCTAAAAACAGCCAAAGAAAAAAGACATTACTTTCAAAAGAGTGACCATATTACTTATATTTGATTTATCAACAAAAATTATTGGGCCAGAAGATAATGAAATGACATTTTTAGACAGCCAAATTTGGACTTCAGCAATTTGACTATGATTTACATCGTTGTGGTTTCTTTTGTATGTATCTTGATTGATACTGGCAGAGTTTTTTTTTTTTTTTTAATTGAGATAAAACCCACATAACATAAAATTAACCATTTTAAAGTGCAATTTAGTGACGTTTAGTACATTCACAAAGTTGTACAACCATCATCATTATCTAGTTCCAAAATATTTTCATTACCCTAAAAGGAAATCCTATATCCATTAAGCAGTCACTCACCATTTCCCACCTCCCTATAGAACCTGGAAACTACTAATCATTTTTTTTGTCTCTATGGATTTACCTATTCTTGATATTTAATATACATTCATCCCTCAGTATATGTGGGGGATTGGTTCCAGGACCTCCATGTTACCAAAATCCACACATAGTCAGGTCTTGCAGTCTGCCCTGTTGACCCTGTGTAAACAAAAAAGTCAGGCCTCTGTACACTCAGGTTCTGCATCCCAGTAATTTTCCATCCACATTTGGTTGAAAAAAAATCCACGTATAAATGAACCTGAACATTTCAAACTACATTGTTTAAGAGTCAACTATAAATGGAATCCTACAGTATGTTGTCCTTTATGACTGGCTTCCTTCACTTAATGTTTTTGAAGTTCGTTCACATTGTACCATGTATCAGTATTTCATTTCTTTTTATGGCAGAATAACATTCGATGGTATTGATATATTTTATTTATTCATTCATCTGTTGATGGACATTTGGGATGATTCTACCTTTAAGCTATTGTGAGTACTGCTGTATGAATATTCATGAACATATATTTGTTTGAATGCCTGTTTTCAATTCTTTGGAGCATACACACCTATGAGTGAAACCACTGGGTAACAGTAACAGTAGGAAGGTCCTATGGATGGAAATCACTCTCACCTCAGAAGAGTCAGTAAAGAGTCTCTTTGAACAAATTTCCACATGAAAAATTAGAAAGATAAAGAAAACAAAGACAATCTGGGTTAGAGTGAAATTGAAATTACACAGGACAATGGGTTCACTTAGAGAAGAGGAAAGGAAAGCTGATAATAGATGCCAAGAGTATTAGCATTTTTCTCCCTAGGAGACTTGGTATTGCTAACTTCACTGAGTACTTGTGAGGCATTAATAAGCTAAGGATGGGAAAAGTTAAACTATTTTTTCAATTAAACTTTGGTTGCAGCATCATTAAAACTAAGCTGTTCTGCATGCTACTGATTTCATTCTTGGCTACCAGGCTGGTTATTTGTTTGTTGTCTGAATGAAGAGAGAAAGTGCTGCTGGGGGGCAGATCAAACAGAAGTACACATGAGGGGAAAAGAATGGTCATGTGTTAATGAGTAAGAGGCAGCTGATCCCTGAGGGATTCTCAGCACAATCTTCTCATTGCAAATTTATTTTCTAAATTTGTTAGCACTATGAGTGCAGAATTATACAAATGCCTGGGATTTCTTTTTTCCCTTTTCCTGTTGTGTTGGGTGGTTTTATTACTTTAGAACTGGAAGGGACTACATGATCATAAAGGTCTTCTCACTTATAGATGTAGAAACCCAGAGAGGTGAAATTGTGGTCCAAGGTCATACAACTTATTATTGGGGCTCCTTTCCATACCTCTGAAAATAGTTATAAGTTCTACTTTTAAAATTAGCCACTATTAAAAACGTAGATTTTAAAAGGTGCCCCTGGCATGCCATAGCCTCTCCTGGCCATAGGAAAAATTTTGGCAAAGGGCTGGCAAGGGAGCCCATTTGAACAGGGAGGCAATTCTTGGCATCAGCTGTGTCTCTGCACTTTGGCTTTCCCATAATGGCCCTTATACACTCAGGATGAAGTTTCAGAGTTTGAAGATGACCTTCATCTTTCCTTTCCTTCTGTTTCCTTTATGAGGGATGGGGGTAGAACCAGGGACCTTGCAACAATGCTACCATATGGTCATGGCATTTGGTGTCCCTTGAGCAATTTTCTCTTCACAATGAATCCCTGTCTTTCATCTATATGGAACCCACTATATTTGCCAAGTACCTTTTCATCTACACTCTCAGTGAACCTCAAAACCTTCCTAGTTAGGTTCCATTATCCTAATTTTCAAGAGGAGAAATTTAAAATGTAAAGAGGGAGTAGGCTGAATTGGCACCAGAGGCCAGGACACATCTCAGGACACCCACCTTGAATCTGGACTGCTAGCCATTCTTTAGCTCCTCCTTGCCCTGACACAGCCTTCCTCCCAGGGTGTATGAGCCTGTTTGGCATAGGATAACCTGCACTAATGCTCCCCTGGGAATCACAAGCCCGATGCAGGCTGAGAAGACAGAGAGGCTGATGAAGGTAATGGGAAATAATTATCTCCTTCAAAGGATACATAAGAAAAGTCACTGGAAGCAGCATGATAAAACTTGGACTAATGAAGTCCCAAAGGATTCTGGTCTTGGAGAAGAAAATATAGTTTACTGGTTTCCAAATCTCTGTTGCATCAGAATCACTTAGGATTGCTTTTAGTTTATTTAATTTTAGTTCCTGAGTAGCTAATATATGTACAAGGCTCAGAAATCAAAAGGAACAAAAAGCATATGGTAAAAAGTCTCCTCCCATCTCTATGTCCTAGTGACTTTATTTCCCTCCTTGGAGGCAAGCAACAAATGCTATCAGTTTCTTTTATATAAGTGACTTTAAGCACATATAAGCAGAGTATATATTTCCCCAAAACATATTTTTATATAATATTCTATGCACATTGTTCTTAACTTTCCTTTTTTCACCTAAACAATATATCTTTGTTTCATATCAGTCCACAAAGAGCTTCCTCTTTCCCTTTTTAATCTGAATTAGTATTCCATTACAAGCCTGTACCATAATTTTTATCTAGTCAATTCCCTATTACTAAACATTAAGTTGTTTTTAATTTGTTGCTATTACAGACAAAGGTGAAATAAATGACCTTGTGCAATGAATGTCCAAGAGAACTCAATTTAAGTCTAAACTCTTACACTATGCAGCTGTGTGGCCTTGGGCAAGTCAGTTAGGACTTCAGCCTTTTCAAAATGGAAGGAATCTTCTTTTTGTTTATTTGTTTTATTGAGATGGAGTCTTGCTATGTCGCCAGGCTGGAGTGCAGTGGTCTTGGCTCACTGCAACCTCTGCCTTTTGGGTTCAAGCGATTCCCCTGCCTCAGCCTCCTGAGTAGCTGGGACTACAGGCGCGTGCCACCATGCCCGGCTAATTTTTTGTATTTTAGTAGAGACAGGGTTTCACCATGTTGGCCAGGATGGTCTCGATCTCCTGACCTCATGATCTGCCCGCCTCGGCTTCCCAGAGTGCCAGGATTACAGGCATGAGCCACTGTGCCTGGCCAAAATGGAAGGAATCTTAACGACCATTTGTTGTAGCATTTTTCCAAAGTATGTTCATGGAACACTCATCCCAAAGGGTGCCCCCCCGGAAACTGACAGTACACATTAGACTGAGAAGACCACAGTGAACATACATGAATTAATCTAGGGTTTCACAAATATATTTAATAATACTATGAAGCCATAAAAAAGAATGAGATTATGTCCTTTACAGGAACATGGATGGAGCTGAAGGCCATCATCCTTAGCAAACAAACACAGGAACAGAAAACCAAATACTGCATGTTCTCACTTATAAGTGGGAGCTAAATGATGAGACCACATGGACACAAAGAGGGGAACAGACACTGGGATATAGTTGAGAGTGAAGGATGGGAGGAGGCAGAGGATCAGAAAAATAACCATTGAGTACTGGGCTTAGTACCTGGGTGATGAAATAATCTGTACAACAAACCCCTGTGACATGAGTTTACCTAATAACAAACCTGCACATGTACCACTGAACCTAAAATGAACAATTGTCATGCTGTGGAATTTTCCTTAGAATGCACTTTGAGAAAACAATGTCTAGTCTAGTCCAACCTCCTCTTATTTTACAGCTAGGAACTCATAGAAGTTTTGGATAATCAGCATCTAATACATGCTTGAACAGTATAGCTCAAAAAATACTGTTTGACTTGCATTAAACAAACAGAGATCTATTTAGGGAAATAATACAAGCCTATATAATAAATTTAGAAAGATTTAAAAAACAATAAAGAACAACTTGATGAGACCAAGATAGGACATGATAGGACCACAAGAGTTTAGAAATAGATGAAGGTCATTTAATATTTATAGGGGAAGTAAGACTTAATATGGGTCACAAAGGATGAACACACATAAGGGCAGGGGTATGAGGGTTAGCCATTCCACGAAAACACAAAACATGTTCTGGGCATAACGAAAATCAGTTTGATTAGGCCCCCAGTCTTCACCAATCTTCCTTTAGTTCCCTCATTCAACAATCACTACCAAGTATCTGCTATGTACCAGGCACTGTTCTAGGTACTTGGGATAGAGCAGTGAATAAGAGACATGGAACTTATATTCTAGAAGGAACTTAGATTCTAGAAGGGAACTCTGCTCTCATGGAACTTATATTCTAGAAGGGTGAAAAAAACCTAATAAGGGACTCATATTGAGGATAAGTGCTATAAGAAAAAAAATAGGGCTAGAGGGTTCTAGGGCTGACTAGAAGTGGCTAGTATGTGCCACTCTCACAGAGAGGAAACAAAGTGGTAAATAGTGACTCTTCAAGTGGCTCTTTTAAGAAAACATGTTGGGATCCAACAAGGGAGCAAGGGGACACAGGAAGAACAGAGAAGACTGAAGCTGAGGAGCCGCCTGCCCTGGACTAGTGCAGAGCCAGGAGATGCTCCCTAATATGGGGAAAGAATGAGAACGTAACAACCACCAGGTGATCACAGTTCCCACAAGGACCTGTGCAATCTTGGGAACAGGAGAACTTTCCTGAACCCCATGGGCCTCTAGACTGATACAGAGAGCCACCCAGATTTTTGTAGAGGTACCACTCAAGACCACGGGGAGCCCCACAGGCCTTGGATCCTTGAGCAGCCTGGCACCAGCTACCATAACGCCAGTAGTGGTCACAGTCATGGTGCCAGGGAACAGTCAGACTGATCCATTCCTCTTTGTCAGACAAAGCTCGGCTCCCACTTCCAGCACGGTGACCTTGCCCTTGTCTGAACACTGTGGGTAGGCTCAGCTCTATGTTGGCTGGGGAAAAGGTGAGATGGCTGACTCCACCCACCCCTGCTGCTTCTAGTAGAGTGGGACTCGCTGGCTCGGGCTTCCAGGGCAGCAACTCTGCCACTGCTTGAACTCTGCTGGTGGGTACAGCTCTTTGTTACCCTGGTAGGCACCCAGATGGCAGACCAGATGACTCTACCCATCTCAGCTGCTCCTAGCCAGGCAAAACTTGCTTGGGCTTTCAGTACAGTGGCTGGGACCCTGATTAAACTCTGCCAGTGGGCACAACTGTGTTACCCTGGTAAACACCCAGATGGTGGACCGGGTGATTCCACCCACCCCCACTGCCCAAGCAGGAGAAGAGCCCCCACTCTCAGAACACTGAATGGGGTGAGATGCCTGGGTTTGTGGGCTGGCAGGGAAGCAGGGCCTACCTTCTTCTGCAGGGCCAGTCCAAGAAGGGTGTAGCCTGTTTGCCAGCCAGGGAATCTGCTTGAGGCAGCGCCATGGCTCAGAACACCTGGCAAAGGAAACGTGGGCACAGTACCACCGATCAGAAGGGGCTCTTCCAAGGCCCAGGAATGGACCTGGTAAAGGGATCACCTCTCTCACCCTCTATCACAGAGCACTATCGACAATGCGCTGAAATACAAAAGAGCCCGGTGGCTAAGGGCTTATCTATCGGCCATCGCTCTCAGGCGCCATCTACTGGATGGTAATCCAAATTACAACACTAAAAATATTTCGCCCGTATATAGCGCCTGTGAAACCTAAGGCAAAAATCTAGACACAAATAAAGATCTTGTTAAGAGCCTTTGCCCTCTGAAAGCACCCAGAAATGAAGCCAACTGACTATACTCATCTTACGTCACAAACAAAGAAAGACAAGCCCTCTCAGATGAGAAAGAATCAGCACAAGAATTCTGGCAATTCAAAAAGCCAGAGTGTCTCCTTACCTCCAAAAGAATATAATAGCCACCCCAACCCCCAAATGGTTCTTAATCAGATTGAAATGACTGAAATGACAGACACAGAATTCAGAATCTTGATGGCAAGGAAACTCATTGAGATCCAGGAGAAAGTTGAAACCCAATCCAAGGAATCCAGTAAAATGATCCAAGAACTGAAAGATAAAGTAGCCATTTTATGAAAGAACCAAACTTAACTTCTAGAATTGAAGAATTCACCAGAAGAATTTCATAATATAATCAGAACCACTAACAGCAGAGTAAACCAAGCTGAGGAAACTCTCAGTTTGAAGACTGACTCTTCAAATCAACTCAGACAAAACTAAAGGAAAAAAAATTTAAATGAACAAAACCTCTGAAACATACAGGATAATGTAAAGAGACAAAATCTATGACTCACTGACATTCCAGAGAGAGAAGATAAGAGAGTAAGCAACTTGGAAAACATATTTGAAGAAAGAGTCCATGAAAATTTCCCCAATCTCTCTAGGGATGTGGACATGCAAATTCAAGAAATACAGGGAGCCCCTGTGAGAGACCATGTAAGACAACCATCCTCAAGGCACACAGTCATCAGATTCACCATGGTAAATGAAAAAGAAAAAATCTTAAATGCAGCTAGAGAGAAAGGTCAGGTCATTTACAAAGGGAACCCCATCAGGCTAGCAGCAGACCTTTCAGCAGAAAACTTACAAGCCAGAAGAGATTGCAGCCTTTTTTCAGCATCCTCAAAGAAAAGAAATTCCAACCAACAATTTCATATCCCACCAAACTCAGCTTCATAAGCAAAGGAGGATACAATCCTTCTCAGACAACCAAACAGTAAGGGAATTGGTTATTACCAGACCAGCCTTATAAGAAGTCCTTAAGGGAGTGCTAAACATGGGAACAAAAGGTTGATACCTGCTACCACAAAAGTCACTCAAGCACATAGCCCACAGACAATATAAAGCAATTACACGATCAAATTTACAAAACAAAAAGCTAATAACATGATGACAGGATCAAAATCTCACATATAAATACTAACCCTGAATGTGAATGGTCTAAATGCCCCACTTAAAAGGCATAGAGTGACAAGCTGGATAAAATGACTAGACCCAACTGTCTGCTGTCTTCAAGAAACCAATCTCACATGTAATAACATCCACAGGCTCAAAGTAAAGGGATGAATAAAGATCTAACATGCAAACAGAAAGCAAAAAAGAACAGGAGTAGCTATTCTTGTATCAGATAAAACAGACTTTAAGTCAACAATCAGAAAGGACAAAAAGGAGTATTGCATAATGATAAAGGATTCAATTCAACAAGAAGCCCTAACTATCCTAATATATATGCAGCCAAATTGGAGCACCCACCCAGATTTATAAAACAAGTTCTTCTTGACCTATGAAAAGACTTAGACAGCCACACAGTAATAGCAGGGGACTTTAACACTCCACTGACAGTGTTAGATCATTGAGGCAGGAAACTAACTAACAAGGAAAGTCTAGACTTACATGCAATTCTTGACCAATTGGACCTAATAGACATCTGCAGAACATTCCACCCAACAACCACAGCATATACATTTTTCTCATCTGCTCATGGAACATATTCTAAGATTGACTACATGCTGAGTCATAGAGCAAGTCTCAATAAATTTAAAAAAATCAAAATAATACCAGGCATACTCTTGAACTGCAGTACAATAAAAATAGAAATTAATACCAAGAAGATCTCTCAGAACTACACAAAAACATGGAAATTAAACAACTTGCTCCTGAATAACTCTTGAGCGAACAATGAAATTAAAGCAGAAATAAAAAATTCCTTGAAACTAATGAAAATGGAAACACAACTTACCAAAATCCTTGGGATGCCACTAAAGTGGTGGTAAGAGAAAAGTTTGTAGCACTAAACACCTTCATTAAGTAGTTAAAAAATTTCAAATTAATAAGCTAACATTGCACCTAGAGAAATAAGACAAAAAATAATTATTTCTAGAAGAAAAAGAGTAATAATTAAGTCAGAGAAGAACTGAACAAAACTGAGACCCAAAAGTCCATACAAAAGATCAATAAAACCAAGAGTTGGTTCTTCAAAGGAATAAAAAAGATTGTTAAACATCTAGCTAGATTAACAAAGGAAAAAAAAAGATTCAAATAAGCACAATCAGAAAGACAAAGATGACATTAAAACCAATCCCACAGAAATAGAATAGAATAGAAAAGATCCTCAGGGACTATTATGAACACCTCTATGTACACAAAGTAGACAATCTAGAGGAAATGGATAAATTCCTAGAAGCACACAACCTCTCAAGATTGAACCAGGAGGAAAGTGAAAGCCTGAACAGAACAATAATAAACTCAGAAGTTGAGTCAGTAATAAAAAGCCTGCCAACTAAAAGGAGCCCTCACACAGATGAATTCACAGCCAAATTCTACCAGATGTACAAAGAAGAACTGGTATCAATCATACTGAAACTATTCCAAAAAATAAAGGCGGAGGATCTCCTCCCTAACTCATTTTATGAAGCCAGTATCCATCCTGATACCAAAATCTGGCAGAGACACAATGAAAAAAGAAAACTTCAGGCCAATATCCCTGATGAACACAGACACAAAAATCTTTAATAAATATTAGCAAACCAAATTTAGCAGCACATCAAAAAGTTAATTCACCACAATCAAGTAGGCATTATTCCTGATATGCAAGGTTGGTTCAACATATGCAAATCAATAATTGTGATTAACCACATAAACAGAATCAAAAACAAAAACCATATGATTATCTCAATAGATGCAGAACAAGCCTTCAATAAATTTCAACATTGTTTAATTGCAAAAACCCTCAACAGGGGCTAGGCATCAAAGGCACATACATCAAAATAATAAAAGCCATCTATGACAAATCCACGGCCAACATCATATTGAATGCGGAAAAGCTACAACCATTCCCCTTGAGAACTGGAACAAGACGAGGATGCCCACTCTTAGCATTTCTATTCAACATGGTATTGGAAGTCCCAGCTAGAGCAATCAGGCAAGACAAAGAAATAAAAGGCATCCAAATAAGAGAAGAAGAAATCAACCTATTTCTCTTTGCTGATGATATAATTTTATGCATAGAAAACCCAAAAGGCTCCTGGAACTGATAATTGATCTCAGTAAAGTTTCAGGATACAAAATCAATATACAGAAATCGGTGGCATTTCAATACACCAATAACATTCTAGCTGAAAGCCAAATCAAGAACACAATCACATTTATAATAGCCATAAAAAATAAATACCTAGGAATATATCTAACCAAGGAGGGTAAAATACATCTATAAGAGGAATTACAAAATACTGCTGAAAGTAATGAAATTACACAAATAAATAGAAAAATATTCCATGCTCATTGATTGGAAGAATCAATATTGTTAAAATGGCCACACTTTCCAAAGTAATTTACAGATTCAGTGTTATCCCTATCAAAACACCAATGTCATTTTTCAAGGAAGTAGAAAAGACTATTCTAAAATTCACATGGAACCAAAAAGGAGCCCGATTAGCCAAAGCAATCCTAAGCAAAAAGAACAACGCCAGAGACATAATGTTACCCAACTTCACTAAAAGGCTACAGTAACCAAAACAGCATGGTATGGGTACAAAAACAGACTTATAGACCATTGTAACAGAATAGAGAACCTGGAAATAAAGCCACACAGCTATAACCATCTGATCTTCAATGAACTTGACAAAAATAAGCAATGTAGAAACGACTTCCTATTCAATCAACGGTGCTGGAATAACTGGCTAACCATATGCAAAATAATGAATCTGGACTACATTTCACCATATACAAAACTCAACTCAAGATGGATTAAAGATTTAAATGTAATACCTCAAACTATAAAAGTCCTAAAGAAAATGTAGGAAATACCCTTCTCCATATGGTTTTGGTAAAGAATTTGTGGCTAAGTCACCAAAACCAATTGCGACAAAAACAAAAATTGACAAGTGGGACTTCATTAAACGAAAGAGCTTCTGCACAGCAAAATAAATTAACAATGGAGTAAATAGCCTAGAGAAAATATTCACAAAGTATGTATTCAATAAAGGTCTACTATCCAGAATCTATAAGGAACTTAAATAAACAAGCAAACCCAAATAATCCAATTAAAAATAGGCAAAGGAGATGAAGAGATGCTTATCAAAAGAAGATGTACAAGTGGCTCACAAACATATTAAAAAATACTCAAATCACTAATCATTAGAGAAATGCAAATCAAAACCACAATAAGATGCCATCTCATATCAGTCAGAATGGTGATTATTAAAAAGTGAAAAGTAACAGATGCTGTTGAGGCTGCAGAGACAAGGGAATGCTTATATACTGTTTGTGGGAACGCAAATCAGTTCAGTCATTGTGGAAAGCAGTTTGGAGATTTCTCAAGGAACTTAAAACTGAACTATCATTCATTCCAGCAATCCCATTACTGGGTATATACCCAAAGGAAAATAAATCGTTCTACCAAAAAGACACATGCACTTCTATGTTCATGGCTGCATTATTCACAACAGCAAAGACAGGAAATCAACCTACATGCCCATCAATGGTGGACTGGATAAAGAAAATTTGGTACATATACAGCATGAAATACTATGCAGCCATAAAAATATTGTGTCCTTTGCAGCAACATGGATGTAGTTTGAGGTCATTATCCTAAGTGAATTAACACAGGAAGAGAAAACCAAATTACAGCATGTTCTCACCTACAAGTGAGAGCTAAACTTTGAATACACATGGACATAAACATGGGAACAATAGACACTGGGGACTGCTAGAACAGAGGAGGGAATGAAGGGGGTGTGGGATGAAAAACCATCTGTTGGGTACTATGCTCACTACCTGGGTGACAGGACCATTTGTACCCCAAACTTCACCATCACATAATACACCCATGTAACAAATGTGCACAGGTGCCCCCTGAATCTAAAATTTTAAAAAAGAAAAAGTAAAGAAGGGGTTACAAAGAGGGTTGAGATGGGGAGAAAAGATTGCTCTTTTACAAAAGGAGGCCAGGAAAGGCCACTTTGACATTGGGGCAGAGTCCTGAAAGAAATGAAGGAGTCATGCAGATTTCTAGAGGAAGACTATTCTAGGTAAAGGGGAAGCAAATGCAAAGATCTAAAGTGGGAGCGTCATTGTCATGTTTCAAGGAACACGAGGTATGCCAGAGTAGAGAGTGGCAGAGTGTAGGACAGTGGTGCAGGAGATGAGTTCAGGCAGCCAGTTAAGTAGGGCCATGCAGGCCACTCTAAGGGCTTTGGTTCTTATTCCAAGTCAGATGAAGAGACATTAAGGATTTTGAGCAGAGGAATGGTAGGATCAACATAGTTGCTTATTGGAATAGGGTATAGGTGGAAGCAAGCAGATAGGAATCTATTGCAATAGTCTGGGGAAGAAATAAAAACTGTCTTTGAATTTTGCTGATCCAGGTTTAGTATCCCTTAGAAATGTTCAAGACCAGAAGTGTTTCAGGTTTGGGATTTTTTCATATTTGGGAATATTTGCATTTATATTGTTACTAATTGAGCATCCATAATCTGAAAATTCAAGATCTGAAATGCTCCAGTTGAGGGAAGAGAGAGACCCTCTCATATTGTTTTATATTGTTTTATACTCAGTACCTGTTTTAAGAAAAAACAAGGAAGTGGAATCAAAGACAGGCAGCCCGGCGCCAGGCCCAAAACCAGGCCTGGGCCTGCCTGGCCTAAACCCAGTAGTTAAAAATCAACTCATAACTTAGAAACCGATGTTATTCATAGATTCCAGACATTGTATAGAAGAACATTGTGAAACTCCCTGCCCTGTTCTGTTTCTCTCTACCAGTGCATGAAACCCCTGTTACATATCCCCTAGATTGCTCAATCAATCACGACCCTTTCATGTGAAATCTTTAGTGTTGTGAGCCCTTAAAAGGGACAGAAATGGTGCACTTGGGGAGCTCGGATTTTAAGGCATTAGCTTGCCAATGCTCCCAGCTGAATAAAGCCCTTCCTTCTACAACTTGGTGTCTGAGAGGTTTTGTCTGCAGCTCGTCCTGCTACACAGTAAGCATTTCCTCTGAGAATCGTGTTGGTGTTAAAAAAATTTTGGATTTTGGTGCATTTCAGATTTTGGATTTTTGAATTAGGGATACTCAACTGTAGTAGTAAAAATAACTAGAGTTTAAAATCTGGATCTATTTTGAAGGCAGAACTAACAAGATTTGCTAATGAATTGCCTGGTGGTAGTGTAGAAGAAAGGGTTCTACACGAGGAACATAAAATCCTGAGTTATGGTCTCTCCTGCTACTACTTGGTCATTGATTTGGGGACTTACCCCACTGTAAAATGGGGTCACCTCATCTTCTTGCTTGGAGTTAGAGAGCCAAGTCAAATGGTCTCTTTATGTGCCTTCGGTACTAAGATCTATAAATTTGATTTAGTCCATGCCTGAAAATTAGCACTCTATTACCTACTGTTTTGTATTACTCACATAGTTTCATGTAAAAATTATAGCTTCCCCACCACACTATAAAGGAGGATAATCTAACAGACCTTGTCTAATACTTCTCTATGTCATTCAGCGTTCACTTATCAACTAAGAACAATCAATCCTCAAATAATAACTCTAGGTGAATAATAGTGTTGCATTCAGTTTGCTAATACACTTTGTAATTCTTCACCCCCGCCCCTTGTGGGTCTTTAAATTTAGTGCTAAAGAACAGGCCCCAGTTTCAAAGGGTGATAAAGGGAAGGGAAAGAAGGAAATTCCAATTCGATAGTTCCTATGTTGAGATGTAGATTCATTAAGAAAGGCTTAGTAAAGAAGATGAAAGTTTGGCATTGAAGTGCAACTTTACAGGAAAGGTAAGAATCTGTAAGATGACAAAGGGAATGAAAGGCACCCCAGGGAGAAAAAATTGCATTAGCTTGGAGGAGCACAGTGTGGAAAAATAACCCACCTGGCCATATCCCTTCCTGCTCCCCTCAAAGCTTGTGAGGCTAACCTCAAATTAACAAAATTACCTACACAGAACAGGAAATGCAAATATTGAAGTGCTCATAATGTTTGACGACATTTTTCATGTGATTCACATTAAAGCACTGGAAAAACTATACTAATTACATACAATGTACATGAATAAAAAATTACATAAATTTTGAATTCCTTGACTTCTATAGGCCAAGTACAGAACTTTAACAGAAGTGGTTGCTGTTGGTAGTTCTTTCATGTTACCCTTAACTTTGCTTCTTTTTATTTAGATGAAATGAAGTGGCAAGGAAGAGAAAAAGGGGAAAAAAATGACAGGAAACAGCTATCCACCTTCATACCAAAATACGAGCAGAAAACCACAGTTATGCTGCCATCTAACAATGGTATATTCTGTTTAGGAAACTCCCTGATCCCAGAAACAGCCATGCAACTCTAGACAATAACGAAATTACATCTTACACAAGCTCAAAACCCTCTTCCATAGCTTCTAATGACATTTGTTTATGTTTGCTTTTATGCTTTCCCATGGGTTGTTCTTCTGAAACAAGCTATGAGTTTCAAAGATGATGATGGCGGTGGTGATGGTGGGCACAGACATGTAATATAATTTATCAGGACTTCCAGTTTCAGTGCCATAAATTTGGGAGATGGGATAAGAGTGCTTGGCCAATTCTCATCAAAGAGAGGAGAAAGTGGACACTTTTCCTAAGGAGAACAAACGTCTATCAGAGTAAATGATTCATGCAAAGCACTCAGCCCTTTCTCTAATGACAGTAGCTGGGCTCACTCTCAATTTGTCATCAAGACCTCAATCATTTCTAAGCTTCTTAAGAGGAAAAATGTAAACAGCTCTTGAAATCACACAGGTGCATTCAATTTTGTTTTGTAAACCTTTAAAAGGTGAGTGTCTCTTGCTTAATTTTTCCAGAAAAAAAAAGATAACTACTAATGATAACTCGTATTGAGATCAAGTTTGAAAAGTGTTGCTTGCAAAGATCACCTAAGATGAGGAAGTGGAATATATTATCAGAAATTGGGGATGACTTTGAATATCTGCATGATTTTCCCAGATGCTATAAGGTATAATTTGCTCCTGAAATCAGCGTTCTGAGGGTGGTAAATATAAAGATGGTTCCAAAAGATCCTGGGTTCCAGTCACCTATGAGGTTGCCAGCATCTGTAATCCTAGAATGCAAGCTCCCAAATGAATAACTGTCTGTAATCTGAGGAATACAATCAAACAGACGTGTTCACTCACAGAGTAGGCCCAAAAGTCAAACATCTACATTGAGATAATACAGCTCTCAAAGGGATCAAATGACACTAGAGACAAATGTATCAAGTTGCTGTGGCAACTGATCCAAAGTGTGGTCCAGCTGTTACCAGTCTGTTTTCCCAGCATCAGAGGCTACTCACTCAAGGCAAACCATAAAAATACCTCTTTGCTCATAAAAAAAGACATTCCCTGTCTCATACGCCAGATTGTTCATCTCCTCAGGCCATGGTCTGCCTTTCCCCATTTGCTCTTGTCTTCTGCTCATCAGAGCAGAATTTTAGGAGAATCCTGCCAACAATTACCCTTGGGTTCCCTAATTCAACAGAAAGGCAGATTACCTCAAGAGAGCAGGGGAGCATGTGACTCATCCACCCACAGCCACACACAAACTCAATTATCATCTTCCCATCCTTCTTCTTTGGACCAGGTGTTTATACTCAGCCTGTCTGTCTGGGTAAATGCTTTCAAAGTGCATTCAAGTGGGAGCTGACTGATTTCTTGTATTTTTTTTTTCTGTAAAACAGATTATGAAATATACCTATTAAAAAGAAGTAGTGAGGGAAGGTGCAGGGGAAAAAGCATGAACTCCACTCCATAAATAGACCTCAGTTAAATCCTGGACCACCATTTACTACCTGTGAGTACTTAGACAAGTTATCCTCTCTCTCTAAAGCATACTTACCCCATGGAGGAAGATGGTGTTAATGATATTTGTCTTGCTAGAGAAGTACTTCTCAACTTCATGTACATATGAAACACCTGGGAAATCTTATTAAAATACAGATTTCTACTCAGTAGGTCCAGATTGGGGCTCAAGAGTCCCCCTTTTTAGAAACTCCCAGGTCATGCGGATGCTGTTGGTCTGGACCACACTTTAATACCAAGGTAGGAAGTTCTTTCAAGGATTTAACTTTATATAAAGAAGCTACAACAATATTTGGCACATGGAAGGCTTTCAATTAATGTTATTTCTTACCTTTTATTTTCATCATCCTCACTCCCATACAGTATACTACACAAAACACTAATGTGCATGCAAGAACTTCTATTTCTCTGAGGATATGCATTTTGAGACAGCAAAATAGAATTCCAATTACATAAAATCTCCCCACTCTTTTATTCTAAAATGAAGAGAGAAATGGAAAAGAAAGATGGCTAGATTGGTTGGGAATAATGGAAAGTCCTCCCTAGAAAGTGGCTGTGCTTTTGACGGTAGCAGCCTTCCAGATAAAAAGCACTGAGAACTTGATAAAAGCAACTGAAGACATGAGAACAGTAATCACATCTTCCATTTAGCTTTTGGAAAATTCTTAATATAACATAGTTTACACCATTGGCATGGCTCTTGCCAAGGAAGAAAATAATTCAGAAATAATAAATGTTTTCATCTCAAGATTGTGTATAAAAGTCAAAAATATATAGAGAAGAAAATAGCCAGGCGCAATGATTCAGGTCTGTAATCCCAGCACTTTGGGAGGCTGAGGTGGGCAGATCACCTGAGGTCAGGAGTTCGAGACCAGCCTGGCCAACATGGTGAAACCCTGTCTTTACTAAAAACACACACACAAAAAAATAGCCAGGTGTGGTGGTGTGGGCCTGTAATCTCAGCTACTTGGGAGGCTGAGGCAGGAGAACCACTTGAACCTGGGAAGTGGAGGCTGCAGTGAGCTGAGATCACACCAGTGCACTCCACCCTGGGCGACAGAGAAGAAAATAGCAAATTCAAAGAGGCACCACTACATGAATGTGTTCTATGGATCATTTTAAAGATTCTACAACATACTAAACATTTAGAAATGTGACTTTCATAACAATGATAATTAATAATTATAAAAAACGTATTAAACACTTGGGATTGCACATATGATGCTAGATGCTTTACATGCATCATCTCATTTCTCTTCACAATAACACTGTGTAGTGGGAACTGTTATGACACCTAAAAACCTCTCTCACCTTGAAGCCTTCTATCTAGCTGCTCCCTCTGCCTGGAACATACTTCCCTAAGGTGTCTGCTTAGCTACCTCCCTCACTTCTTTTACATCTGTGTTCAGATCTCACCTTCTAAAAGATCACTCTATTTTACAAATGTAAAAGCTGAAATTCAGTGCAATAAATGACTTGTCCAAGATAAATATGTATTGGAGCCAGAATTCAAAACCAGATAGTCTGACTCCAGACTAGTGCAATACTTGTGTAACAGATGAATAAAGAAAGCAAGGGGCTGGACACAGTGGCTCACACCTGTAATCCCAGCACAGGAGGGAGGCCAAGGCGGGAAGACTGCTTGAACCCAGCAGTTTGAGACCAGCCTAAGCAACACAGTGAGATCCCTGTCTACACACACACACACACACACACACACACACACACACACAATAACCAGCCATGGTGGCACACACCTGTCATCCCAGCTACTTGGGAGGCTGAGGTGGGAGGATAACTTAAGCTCAGGAGGTTGGAGCTACAGTGAACTATGATTATGCTACTGCCACTACACTCCCGCATGGGTGACAGCATAAGACCCCTATCTAAGAAAGAAAGTGAGACAGAAAAAAGAAAGAGAGGGTTGTCCTGTAATTCTAGAACTTTGCTGAGGTGGGAGGATTGCGTGAGCCCAGGAGTTTGAGAACAGCCTGGGAAATTTTTTTGTAGAGATATCAAGACCCATCTCTACAAACATTTTTTAAAAAATTAGCTGGTGCAGTGGTGCACAACTGTAGTTCCAGCTACTTTAGAGGCTGAGGGGGGAGGTTTGCTTGAGCCCAGGAGATAGAGGCTGCAGTGAGCTTTGATTGTGCCACTGCCTGGGTGACAGAGTAAAACGCTGCCTCAAAGAAAAAAAAAAAAGGAAGTGAGGGCTAAACCCTTTGAAGGGTAGATTGGGGATTTCATGCCTAGTAAGTCTTTAACAATAGCCCTTTTAACATCCATACATTTAACACATGCCCCGATATAATGTATGCGATGTGCTTGGGAAGCGTTAATGAGTGGCCAGTGTTATTAACTATGTGCAAGGTCCTAAACCAGTTTCTCAAACTTTCCCTCCTTAGGCAGGGAGATACCTGTGAACAGAGCTGGAGTTTGCTCAGACTGTTGTTCAGAGTTTTAAATACTGTATAGCCCTCCAGCCTTACTCTTCAAGTAAAATCCAGAAAGATGCAACTTTGTTTATCCCATGGCTTTGAATACTTGCTGGACCTACATCTAGGTCTCCATGAAATACTGTTCCCTTTTGGAGAGTACAGCCCCAGGCCCTTCTAGAAAGAATCATTACAATTTCTTAAGGCCACTACCTTAGTCAGTGAGCCAGAAGAAATCAATTAGCTCATGAGGCAGGATCTTTCTCCTTTGGCTAACTGATGACCTGCAGTGAACTAACTGGGCAAGAATCTGGAGAAAGAAAAGGAGGTAAAAGGACTGAGATATTTGGCAGGGAGTGTAGAGGAGAGGATTCATGTAGAACACTGTTCACTGACTAGGGGGTCACTATGAGGGGACCCCTAGAGATCTAGGCCATGAGACTCTACATTTAGATATAGAGCTTAGGTCCAAGGGAGTTAGACAGAGAGTATAAAGTTCACTTTTTTGCTCTCCTGACTGTGTTTTGGATTTTATTGTGCGTGCATAGTATTCTCTTTCTTAAAACAAATCACTCTTTTTGCTTCTTTAACCTGCTTTTAGAAAGTTGTCTTTTTCTTTCTGTTCCATTTTCTCTCTTTTTTTTTTTCAGCTAAGTTCCATATGTCATTAATGGTTCTCTTTCCTCCCTTTCCCTTTTAAATCATCTGCAGCAGATATTTGTCTAGTCATAGTTCTGTCTGGGGCCCATGAGAATTTTCTCCCTATGGAGTCCTTACTTCCTCCACCAGGAGCACCTCTCCCTTTCTACCATCTCTTTCAGAAGAAAGAAAATAAGCTATACTTGTAGAAGTGGTCACTAGAGGGAGAAACTCCTTGCTAACTAAGCTTCCTGGGGTGAGGGATTTTGTTTCTTTCTATTCCCTTGTCTATTCATAACATCTATCACAGTGCCTGCACATAGTAGGTGCTCAGTAACTATCTTTTGAATGAATTAATAAATAAAATGTAACAGGGTTACCCCACAGAACCATCTAGTTTCCTCCTTTGGCTGAAATGGCCATAGGCAAAAGCCTTGCAATATCTGTAGAATGTATAAAAATGCTCAGAAATATGGGCTAAACATCTGTATATTCTACAGTGAGACACTTTCATAAATAGAGACAAATTGTGAGGGATCTAGAAAAAAAGAAGGAAACTCACATTTTATGAGGGCTCAATGTATTGTATGTACTGAGCCAAACGCTTTTCATATGTTACCTTATTTAGTCTTCATGATAGTTTTGTGAAATGGACATTAACCCCACTTAACAGATGGGGAAACTGAGCTCTGAAGGATTTATTTTTTTCTCAAGGCCACAAATCTACTAAAGGTCAGAGGGATTCTGACCAGGCCTATTTGACTTGAAAGACCTTGTTGTTTCTACCAAACCATACTATACAAGAGATAGATAATCTATGCTAGAGACAGATAACCTCTAAAAATAGTGGTGGATTTTTGACAAAAAATTGTGATGGATTTCTTTAGCTTTTCTTTTTAAGCAGAATTTTTGCTTAACAAGTCATTCTAATGTCCCATTACCCTTGGAAATATTCATGAATTTCCAATAGATGCTATTATTAGAGTCATTTTGCTCACATTTACTTATATTGTGGGATAATTCATAGCTGCTCTTTCAATGACTTTTGAAAGTGTTCATTTTTAGGCTTTAAACATAGCTAAAAATCTGAATTATCAAATCGATCTCTTTAAGCCTACAGCTGCAGTATACCCACCATATTTTGTTTTTCTGCAACAGCAGAAGTGAAGAATGATGAATGTAAGTGTGGACTAAGACCAAAGAGAGAAAAAGTGCTGACTTTTATATAAGAGAAAAATGTATTGAAAATTAGATGACTTGAAACTATGACTTTCAGTATAAAGGGCAGGAATTTTCTAAAGGCCAATTCCCCAGGACAATTTTTCTTACATTTTTCCCCCATCCACATGTCAGAGAAGAAGCTACTGAAGAAAGTTTAATGCCAAAAAATGTGATGATGGATGTATTCTGAGAAATCAGATCCAGGCAGCCATCTTCTATGGTACTGGTGCTCAAGCTTTAATGCACATCAGAATCACCTGGAGGGTGATTAAAATAGACTGCAGGGTCCCATTCCCGAAGTTTATGGGGCCTGAAAATCTGCATTTCTCACAGGTTCTCAGGTGATGCTGATCTAGAAACTACACTTAGAGTGTGCTCCATGGAGTTTAAGCACCCAGGGGTTATTGTGCTGAGTCAGGTGGCTCCAGGGCAGTAGTAGTTCAGACTCACCTAATGAACTTCTTAAAAATACTGATGTCTGGATCACACAGCCAGAAATTTTGTTTTGTTTTTTACTTCTTTTGGTCTCTGGTGGAGGTTCTTAAAAATTTTTTTGGTCTCTGGTGGGAGCTAGGCACTGGGAACATCTGAGTTTGGCTAACTCGATAAATATTAAAAATTAATTTCATATTTTTTGGAGATAAAATTGTAATTTGCCTTATTAAAAATAATCCTAGAGAGAGAAAAAAATGCAGAAAGTAGGATTTCAGGTTAAAATGGTGGTTTAAGTACAGGCATTTACTAAAGCTGTCTCCCTAAACACCACCAAAACAATAGTAACAGAACCAAAACAAACAAACAAACAAAAAACCCAGGGCATTAGCTCACAAGGTCTAAAAGAATTGGGCAAGAAAAACAGCAATAAAAATGTTGGTATTAGAAAACAGAAGGAAGAGTGGTAACTATCTTAGCTGACCAGAGAAAGTTGAATTATATACCTGTGGTGAGGGAAGTCTAAAAGTTGCTGATTCTTGTGACAGAACCCCACAAAATCTCAGGAGCTGGAAATACCATGTGTCTTTGAGAATGAGGGGATGCATGGAGTGAAACAGGAGAAATGAAAGGCAATTAGACCTGCAGATTCCCATCCTCACTCTACATCAGCAGTTCTCCAGGGAATGGTCCAGGGACTTTTGGAGGTCTCTAAGACCCCTTCAGTAGTCCTTGAGATCAAAACTATTTTCATAACAATACCAAGACATTATTTGCCTTTTTCATTCTCACCTCTCATGAGTGCACAGCGGCATTTTCCAGAGTCCATATGACATGTGACAATGTCATTGCTCTGACAATTAATGGAATGTATGCTTGTATATCCTTGTTTTCTAGGCTTTTTTAAGGTATGGTTTTGGAGTATATGTATATATGTTTTCAAAGGTCGACTCAGTTTGCTCTCAATACTTTCTACTGTGTTTTTTTTAAAATAAGCTATTTTTATACCTGCTATAACCAGTATAAGCTCATAAACATCCAATAAGTTATTATTTTGAAGTCCTAATGTTTTTCTTGTGCCTACATGGAAATAAGAACACTTTGTGGGATTATTTTAGTTTTCGTTTTCTGAGAAATAGGGTCTTGCTCTGTTGCCCAGGATGGAGTGCAGTGGTGTGATCATAGCTCACTATATAACCTCCAACTTCTGGGCTCAAGAGGTCCTCTTGCCTCAGTGTCCTGTGTAGCTAGAACTACATGCACGCCACCACACCCGGCTAATTTTTTTTTTATTGTTTTTGTAAAGATGGGCTACTCTCAAACCCCTTGACTCAAGAAATTCTCCTGCCACAGCCTCCTAAAGTGCTGGAATTACAGGCATGAGCCACTGGGCCCAGCCATGTTATTCTGTTTTCCAATAACATTGAAACATTTTTTGAAAACTGATTTTTAAATTTAGAAAAGCATCTTAGAGGGTAAGTTATTGTGCTGCATTGACTGGAAAAATACACACAGTAGCTCAGAGATTAAAAGAGCTTTGTACAGTTGATATTGCTGAATGCCCATTGGATGAAAAGTTATTAAAATAAATCATACCCAGTGGCACTTCCCAACAATTCAATAACTTGTTAAATGAAATATTTAGTTGCAAACATGAAGACAAAGTTACTATCTTGTTAGTAAAAGTGTACTTTTCCTTACAAATGGATAAATCTATAGACATAGTTTTTTTTTCTTGTATCTATCCAGTATCAGCACTATCATTGATCAAGATCATTTATGTGAATGCTTGGAAATAAATACAAGTGATGATGAAATATATAAAGTGTTAAATCATTTATTTGACTCTCATGGTTTGTATTGGAAAAACTATGTTAACATTTGGACTGACTGTTTAAAGCAACAGTGGGTAAAACTGCAGGTACCTTAGCACAAATCAAGTCAGGAACATCAAACTGTACTGGTGGTCATTGTCACATACTTGGAATAAAACAAAAATGTCACTTTCACTTAAGAATGTCCTTGATAAAGTAATTAAAGTTAATTTTATTGAGTACACATATAAAAAAATTCTGTGTAACTAAATGGGAAATACACATACTTTGCTCCATTAGCAAAATATGGTTGTTGTCTTGAGGAAAAGCACTTGTATGATTGAGCTGCAAACTGAATTGGTCATTTGTTATTTTTATTTTTTTGAGACAGGATCTCACTCTGTCATCCAGGTTGGAGATCAGAGGCATGATCTCGGCTCACTGTAACCTCCGCCTCCTGGGCTCAAGCAATCCTCCTATCTCAGCCCCCAGAATAACTGGGACTACAGGTGCATGCCACCACGCCCAGCTATTTTTTGTATTTTTAGTAGAGACAGGGTTTCTCTACTAAGAGATGTTGGCCAGGCTGGTCTCAAACACCTGGGCTCAAGTGATCCACCCACCTCAGCCTTCCAAAGTGCTGGGGTTACAGGTGTGAGCCACCATGCCTGTCCCTGAATTGGTCATTTTTTTTTTAATGGAATAACTTTTTCACTTGAAACAATTAAAGACAAATTATTTAGAGTTAGGCTTTTGAAAGATACTTTCTCAAAAATGAACAAAGTGAGCTTGTCGAGAAAAACATCTGATAAAACCTGTGGCTGATTATAAAATTTGAGCTGTTAAGTGAAAATTAAAATTTTCAAAAATTTGTATCTGCCACCGTGAACTTGTCAGCTTTTCAAAACTTCAAGACTTCTGACTAGATAAGTGGTGATACCAGTGAATGTGATTTAAAAAAATATTTTATAATGAAATGCATCAACATTTGGAACATCTTTATAACTCATAACTGGTTTTGTAATATTTTCCAAATGACCAATTCATGATGTTATAAAATCATGCATGGGTAAAAGGTCTATTCCAAGTACAAGACCAATGGAATTTGATACATTACAACATGAAAAGTTCATGCACATGGTTTAATAGTCCACATTGTAACTAACTTTTAAGAAACTATCACTTGTTGAATTTTGTTATAGTATATGAGAACAGCTACAATTACCTGAAAAGGATATTCAAATACACCTCTTTTTTCCAGCTACCTCTCTCTATGAGGTCAAATTTTCTTCATATTCTTAAACCAACCAAAATGACACATTTCTACAGAATGCAAAAGATATGGGAATCCACGTGTCTTCAATTAAGTCAGATATTGAATAGATTTGTGAGAATATAAAATAATGTCACTCTTGTAACTAATTGTTCTGGTTTTGGAAAATATACTTTCCACAAGAATATTTATGTTAAAATGTAATGGGCTTATTATTTTTAAGTAAATAAATATTTTAAAATGTGTTTTAATTGTAATACAGATGCTCCTTGACTTACTGTGGGGTTATGTCATAATAAACCTATTGTAAATTCAAAATACCACGTGCATTTAATGCACCTAATCTACCTGACATAGTTTGGATGTCCCCTTCAAATCTCCTCTTGAAATGTAATACTCAGTGTTGGAGTTGGGGCCTGGTGGGAGGTGACTGGATCATGGGGGCGGATTTCTCATGAATGGTTTAGCACCATCTCCTTGGTGCTATCCTTGTGATGGTTAGGGATTTCTCCCAAGATCTGGTTGTTGAAAAGTGTGTGGCACTCTCCCCTTCTCTGTCTCTTGTTTCTGCTGTCATCATGTGATGTGTGTGCTCCCACTTTGCTTTCCACCATGAGTGAAAGTTCCCTGAGTCCTCCCAGAAGTGAGCAGATGCCAGCACAATGCTTGTACAACCTGCAGAACTGTTAGCCAATTAAACCTCTTTTCTTTATAAGTTACTCTGTCTCAGGTGTTTATGGCAATATAAGAACAGCCAAACACACAACCAAACATCATACCATACCTTAACCTACCTTAAATGTGCTTGTGACACCTATGTTAGCCTAGAGTTGGGCAAAATCATCTGGTAACACAATACAGAGTATTGGTTGCTTACCCTCATGATCAGGTGGCTGACTGGCAGCTGTGGCTCACTGCCCCTTCCCACCATAGTGAGAGGATATCATACTACATATCATTAGGCCAGGAAAAGATCAAAATTTGAAATTTGAAGTATATTTTCTACTGAATGCATATCACTTTCACACCATGGTAAAGTCACAAAGCTGTGTCAAGCCGTTGTAAGTTGGGACCCATTTATATAGTCTATAAACATGATCCACATAAACAAAAGTGATTTGGAGTCCTTAATATTTTTAAAGAGTGAAAAGGGTCCTGAGACAAAAAAGTTGGGAAACCACTTCCCTATGTAGTTAACAAACTGCCTCATTTCCAAGAAAGCAGAGTGCTAGAGACTGAACTACAGTCAGGACCATCAAGCACAGTGAAGGCAGAGGGTAATCACAATGAAACCTAGAGGATTATGTGAAAGGCTATATTCTAAGCAATAAGACATCCAGCCCTTTCTCTCAGATGTCAGTATGCTAGAAGATTTATACTTCCAAAATGGTAGAATAGAGAATTCTTCTCTGGAACAACTAAATATCCCAAGAGAAAAGATGAACAGATATGGACAGTTAAGAATCCCCTAATGACCTAATCAAATCACCTTATGTAGACTGTTACTAGTTAAAAAGAAATGTCTATAAACAAAATCATCCAATCACCTTTTTATGTCTCTCTCCTAAATAAGAGTAGAGATTCAGGGACCATCAGATATTTGAGGAAAAGGTTTAAAGTCAAAGCCAGGGAGTAAGACAAATAGGGAGAAGAGGGAAGGACATAGAGGAAATAACAGTAATTCAGGGACCATGAAAAAAAAACAAACTACCTACTGGAAAAGCAAAGAAAGCAACTGAGTGGAGAAAAGAAAAAAAGAGGAAAGAAAGAAAAAAGAAAAAATAGGAAAAGAAGATAAATAAAACTAAAATTGATATCTTCAGAGAGAAAATAGAAGGCATTGCATCCAAAAACAAGAAAACAAGCTATAAAAGGGACATTTTGAGGAATAAAAAAGAGCTTTTGGAAATTAGAATATGATAGCAACATGTAAGTTTCAACAGAAAATTTAGATGATTAAGGAGGTTTATCAGAAAAGAGAGGAAAAGTAAAGAAGAGAAAATATATAAAAATTAGAGTACTGTTTGAGGAATTCCAATATCTGACTAATAAAAATTTCAGAAGGAATGCACAAAAAAGGAAAGAATGACATTATCAAAGAAAAAATTAACATGAAAATTTCCCTAAACTGAAGGGCACTAATTTCAGATTGACAGGGTCTAACCACATACCTAGCGAACAGAATAAAAAGAGAGCCAAATAAAAGATCACTAGGAACAGGGAGAAGATCTTAAAAGTATCAAGACAGAAAAAAAGCAGGACCAAGAAAAGGATTGGAAATTTTAAAAGGTACTGGATTTCTCAATAGTTAAAGGAAAACTAAGATGAAATGGAACAAAAGGATCAAAATCTGAGGGAAATCTATGTGCATCCAAAATATAAATCAAACTCTACTACAGGGTCTCAACGTGTTGACCTCTCATTTATCTTTTCTCAGGAAGTTCTTGGAAGAAATGCTTCACCAAAATGAGGGAGTAAACCTCAAAAAGGGCACAAATCCAACAAATAAGAGTCAAAAAGAATCCCCAGGATAATGGTGAAGGGCACTCCCAGGACAACAGCTGTTCAGGAAACACGGCAATCAACCCGTCCAGATGGGAACAGAAGGAGGGATGGCTCCAGGAGCAGATATCTCCAAGGAGAAGATGAAACTGATGGTTACCTGAGGTGTCTGCATATAGAAACAGGAGATTTACTACTCTGGTACAGTTTAGGGATGAATTTAGAATAGATTAATAGGAAGCTAAGCAAATAAAAATAGAGATAGTTAATAAATAACTCCAGGGTAAACAAAAGTTGTGAAAGAAAGAAAATGTCATCATAGCATACCACATGTCCCTGCTGTGAATAATATTTACATAGTAACAAAAATGTAAACCATAAATTCTGACCAATATTTAAGATATAAACTCTTGGAGGATGAGAAAAGTATGTAAATAAGTAAGTTTGGGTATATGAATGGTTAGGAGGTATGAGAGCTAAATTCTCATCTTCCATAGGAGCATCAGACTGTTACTTAGAAACATGAAAGCAGATGTCAGAAGTGCCTAACACTGTGAAGGTTGCTTCTGGAGTGGGGAAATTTGGAGTGGGAAGGGAGGAGCTGGGCACTGATGATTTTAAAATTATAAACAAAAATGTATTAGAAGCTCATTACCAAAAAAAAGGAAGCTACAGAAAAGTAAAAATAAGAAAAAAGATTCCCTATACTTCCTACATCCAAGGATTAACACTCCTAACAAAATTATTTCCCATTTATGTTTGTCATATATATTTCAAAGCAATATATTATTTCATAATAGATAAGTATATTTGTTTAGGTGTAATAGGTTAGGTTCTTTACCCATATTTTATTAGAAAAAATTTCAAAGTGGGAAGAATTGTATAGGGAACATCATCTATCCTCTACTAGGTTCTGCATTTAACAGTTTACTGTACTTGTTTTTCATAAATATATCAGTCTGTCTATCCTTCTATACATCCATTGATCCATTGTATGTTTTGAGGCATTTCAAAATAAGTTGCTGACTTTGGTACACTTCATCCTGAACACGTCATCAGGCAAACCACTAATCAGAGTTTAATATCTATTTATGGTTCTTTTTCTTATGCAATTTTACATATGATGAGATACATGAATCTTAAGCATATCATTTGATAAATTTTGATTAAATGCATACTCCTGCATAACACAAAACCCTATCAAAATGCGGGACATTGCAATCACTCCAGAAAATTCCCTCATGCCCTTTCCTTCTCAATTTGTATCCCTACCCCGACACTCACTAAAGCAATGCACTGATTTTAAAAATTTATTCCAAAACCTCACATAACTGAAATAATAGAAATGTGCTTTTTTATAAGGCTTTTTCACTCAGCATATTGAGATTCATCCATGTTGTGGCACATATCATTAGTTTATTTCTTTATCTTGCTGAGTAGTATCCCTTTGTATGACTATACAATGATTTGTTTATCCATTCTCCTTCTGATGAACACCTGGGCTTTTACAAATTTTTGCCTATTAAGAATAAAACTGCTATAAACATCTTGTAAAAGTTTTTTTTGGTGGCATATGTTTTCATTTCCTTTGGGTAAATAACTAGAAGTGGAACTGCTTTGTCATAGGACAGGCATATACTTAGTTATATAAGAAACTGCCAGATTTTCCAAAATGAACCAGATATTGCAGGATTTTAAGAATTTTAAATCTTATATCACTTTTGTAAGTTGTATTTTTCAAAGAATTTATCTACTTTGTCAAATTTGTTGGTATAAAGCTGTTCATAGTAATCCCTTGAGTATTTTTAATGTCTGTGCAATCTGTAGTAAGAATCCCTCTTTCATTCTTGATACTTGCAATTTTGTACTTTACTTCTCATTCTTTCTCTGTTTCTCTGTCTAGGGTTTTTCACATTTGTTAATCTACTCATAGAAACATTCTGGTTTTGTAAATTTTCTCTACCACTTGTCTAACTTCTGCTTTATTGATTTCTGCTTATATCTTTATTTCCTTCATTTTACTTAGTTTGTGCTTAGTTTGTTCTTTTAATAGCTTCTTCAGATAGAAATGGAGATCATTGCTTGTAAGTGTTTCTTTTCTCACATAAGCATATTAGACTATAAATTTCTCTCCAAGTTCTGCTTTTGCTGGATTCCACAAATTTTGATATATTGTATTTTCATAATCATTTCAAAATAGTTTTCTACCTTTTCTCATGATTTCTTCTTTGATTCATAGGTTATTTATTTATTTAGAGATGGGATCTTGCTCTGTCACCAAGGCTAGGTTGCAGTGGCATGATCATAGCTCACTGTAGCCTCAAACTCCTGGATTCAAGGGACCCTCCTACCTCAGCCTTCTAAGTACCTGGGACTACAGGCACAAGCCACCATGCCCAGCAAATTTTTTAAAATTCTCCTTAGAGATGGAAGTCTCGCTATGTTGCTCAGGTTGGCCTCAAACTCCTTGCCTCAAGTGATCCTCCCATTGCAGCCTCCCAAGTAGCTGGGATTACAGGCACATATATTATTTTGAAGTGTGTTATTTATTTCCAAATATTTAGGCATTTTATAGATATTTTTGTTACTAATACCTAACTTAGTTTCTTTGTCATCCCAAACCATACTCTGCATTATTTCAATTGTTTCAAATTTATTGAGACTTGTTTTACAGTTGAGCATATGGTCCAACTTGGTTAATGTTCTATGTACACTTGAAAAAAATGTGGTTCAACTGCATTCTGTAAATGTGAATTGTCAGTCTGTTTGACAGTGTTATTAAAATCTGCTATATCCTTACTGTATTTATTTTAATCTAGTCCTGTTAATTACTGAAAGAAGTGTTTCTAAATTTCCAACTATGATAGTGGATTTTTCTATTTTTTTCTCCTTTTGTTGTTATTTTTTTTCTTTGTATATTTTGAATCTCTGTTCTTCAGTACTGTATTTGATTGCTGCTCTAAACAAATCATCACAAACAGTAGCTTAAAGCAATCCAAATTTATTCTCTTATAGTTCCACAGGTTAGAAATCAATATGGGTCTCACTGGCCTAAAATCAAAGTATGTGGAAGGCTATCTTTCTTTTGGAGATGCTAAGGGAAAATTCATATTCTTGCCTTTTCTGGCTTCTATGGGATACCTGCAATCATTGGCTCTTGTTCCTCTTCCTCTATCTTCAAATCCAGCAATTGTAGGTCAAGTCCTGCTAACACTGCATTTCTCCAACCTCCTCTCTATTAAAACTCCCTATGCCTCCTCTTTATGCCTTCCTCTTCTACTCTTGTGGTTATATTGGGTCCCTCTGGATATTCCAGAATAAGCTCCTTACTTTAAAGTCAGATGATTAGCAACTAATTCCATCTGCAACCTTAATTCCCCTTTGCCATATAATGTAACATATTTACAGGTTCTAGAGATTAGAATGCAGATATCTTTGGGGGAGGTTGGGGGAGGTTCATTATTCTGCCTATCACAGGACAATACATTTACGATTATTATGTCTTCCTGATGAATTGATCCTTGTATTGCTATGAATAATCTCCTTTTCTCTGGTAATCCTCCTTTTTTTGAAGCCTACTTTGCCTGAAATTAATATAGCCTCACCAGCTTTTTATGATAACTGCTTGCATGACATATTATTCTCATCCTTTTATTTTCAATCTGTGTCTTTATATTTAAAGTGTGTCTCTTGTAGGCAGAATATAATTGAGTCTTCTATAGCATCCAGTCTGACAATCTTTGCCTTTTAATTACACTGTTTAGGACATTTACACTTAGTATAATTATTGATATAATCATGGTTCAGTCTATCATTTTGCTATTTGATTTTTTTCCCATTTATTTTTTGTTCCTCTCTTTCTCCTTGCTTTTTTGAGGTTAATTCAGTATTTCTTATTTTAATCCTAATATGGCTTTTCGGCTATACTTTTTGTCATTATTTTTAAAGGGACTGCTGTAGTAATATAATTTTCACCCTTGCTTATCAGTCTTCTCAGAGTAAGTATTGTACTACTTATATAAAAGAATGTTGTAACACTATAATTCCATTTACTGACTCCTCTTTTTCTCATCCTTTGTGGTATTATTGCCATGTATTTTTACATCTACATATGTTATCAACCCCATAATACAATTTATATTTTTGCATGAATCATTATTTTGTAAATAAATTGGGGAAAAAGTAGCCTTTTATATTTAGCCACAAATGTACCATTTCCAATGCTCTTCATTATTTTTTGAGATCCAAGTTTCCTTCTGGTGCTACTGTCTTTCTGTCTGAAGAATTTCCTTTAGCATTTCTTTTTTTTTTTCTTTTTTTTTTTTTTTTGAGGCAGAATCTTGCTCTGTTGCCCAGGCTGGAGTGCAATGATACTATCTCGGCTAACTGCAACCTCCGCCTCTCGGGTTCAAGTGATTCTCCTGTCTCAGCCTCCTGAGTAGCTGGGATTACAGGTACTTGCCACCAGCCCGGCTGATATTTGGATTTTTTAGTAGAGACAGGGTTTCACCATGTTTATCAGGCTGGTCTTGAACTCCTGACCTCAGGTGATCCACCTGTCTCAGCCTCCCAAAGTGTTGGGATTACAGGCATGAGTCACCGTGCCTGGTCTCCTTTAGTATTTCTTGCGACACAGATCTACTGGCTTTCATTGATAAAAAAAAGTCTTTATTTAATTTTCATTTTTGAAGAATATTTTTGCTGGATATAGAATTCTGGCTTTACATTTTTTTTTTCTTTATCATTTTAAGAATATTGTTCTGTTGTATTCTGTCCTCCATTGTTTCTGATGTCAAATAAGTCATCCTTTTCCCTATATATGAAGTGTTATTTTTGTCTGAATGCTTTAAAGATTTTTACGTTATTTTTGTTCTCAGCAGTTTGAGTATAATGTGCCCAGATAAAATTTTCTTTGTATTTCTCCATCTTAGGGTTTACCTAGCTTCCTGAATCTGTAAATTAATATTTTCCACCAAAATTGGGAGAAGTTCAGCTTTGATTTAAAAAAAAAATTTCTGCCACATTTTCTTTTTCCTGTTCGTCTGAACTCTAATTGTGCATATGTTAGGCTATTTGGTATTAGCAATGAGGTCACTGACACTTTGTTCATTTTTTTCCGCTACTTTTTCCTTTCTCTTCTTTAAGTTGTATAATTTCTGTTGCTCAGTATGCAAGTTTACTCTTTCTTCTGTGGTTTCCAATCTCTTGACAAGCCCATCCAATGAGTTTCCATTTCAGATACTCTTCTTTTCACTTCAAGAATTCCATTTGGTTCTTTTTTATAGTTTCCATTTCACTGCTGATATTTCTCCAGGCTAATATTTCTCAATATGGATATTTTCCCCATAACTCTATGAATATATAATATGAGTTATAATAGCTTCTTTAAAATCCTTGTCAGCTAATTCTAATACCTGGGTCATCTCAAGGTTTCTATTTATTGCTTATCCTCTTCATCATGGTCATATTTTCCTGTTTCTTTGCATGTCTGGTAATTTTTTTTATTGTATGTAGCATAGTGTGGATGATATACTACAGAGATAGAAGAATGCTGATTTTGAATCTAGCAGGAAGTTAAATGAATGACTGATCTTCTTGTTCTTGTGAAGGCATCAGTTTATGATTTTTTTGGACAAGTCTGTTTTGGTTATATTTGAGTCTTAGAGCAAATCCTTAGTCTTGAGACAGACTTTACACCTAAGGCATAACTCTTTTAGATTTCACTGGATAAAAACAAGGTGTTTATCAAGTCCTTCTAAATTTGTGACATTCAAATTCCAACCTCTGTCTCTCATGTGACAAATGGCAGCTGAAATCTCTGTTCAACTTTTTCAGACTTCCAGCTGTTTCTTTTCACTAGGCTCCTTGGAATGTCTCATGAATATATACATTTCAGGGATCAGACAAAGATGTGAGGGAAGTTTATATGCATATTTTGTATTTTTACCTTGGAGTTCCTTCTTTTTGAGATTTCTACCCTCAATTTCCAGCCTTTGACTCCTTCTCCTTGACACTTCAAGCCAATATGAGCATGCATTTCTGTTTGAGTTCTAGTTACCTCCCGATGCATGAATTGTTAAATAACTACAGAGAAGGCCGGGTGTGGTGGCTCATGCCTGTAATCCCAGCACTTTGGGAGGCCAAGGCGGGTGGATCACGAGGTCAGGAGATCAAGACCATCCTGGCTAACATGGTGAAACCCCATCTCTAATAAACATGCAAAAAAATTAGCCTGGCGTGGTGGTGGGTACCTGTAGTCCCAGCTACTCGGGAGGCTGAGGCAGGAGAATGGCATGAACTGGGAGGTGGAGCTTGCAGTGAGCCAAGATCGTGCCATTGCACTCCAGCCTGGGTGACAGAGCGAGACTCCATCTCAAAATAAATAAATAAAAATAATAATAATAACTGCAGTGAAAAAGTCAAATAAAAGTAGATCTCATGCAGTACTGTTCACTTCTTTCAAAGGTTGAATACTTTCCTTTGGTTTCTGCCTTTTTTGGTCATAAGCCAGTGGTTTTTTTTTTAATACTTTATATTTTATCATTGCTCTCTATATAAGGGTTATTATGATACAAGCTACTCCACTATACTTGTAATTATACTTTCATCTTAATAACTTTTTCTGGGTTTTCTAAATGGGTTGGTGGGCAGGACCAATTATTAAGTCATATATTTTGGTCCACAAAATATAGCAAACCCAAGAATATGCTTCCAAATCAAAATAGTCAAACTACAGAGATCTGTTTATTCATGACTTCAGACTTAGAATTTGGGCTGTTCAAGCTCCAAGCTCAACATCCCAATACTGAATTGATTCTTCTGGCCATCCATATGTAGTGACAAATGACAAATTCTATGTTAGTCTCCCCCAGCCTTTTTTTACTAACAATGTCCCTCAATTTCTTTACATTATTAGGACATCTTCACCTCAGTATTTCTCAGGATTGAAGAAACGTGGCATTTGGCTTTAATTTTCATGAAGTCCTCCTGGCCAGAATTGCCTGGGATTCTTCCATGACTTTTCCAAGTCTTCACTGAAAACTATGGCTGGAAAGGATAAATTGTAGATTCCAGGTGCTATTTGTCCTCTAATGAATGCTGATCCTGGAGCCAAAAGAAATACAACCCCCTGCTTGCTTTTTAGGGTATTTTTGGAGTAGTTGCAAACAGTGATATTTATCTGGAGATATGGCCAATATTTTTTAAGTAGTCAATAAACAAAATGTATTTATTAAAAATGTATTTTTGCATCATAAAAATAATACTGTGCTCATTTCATTCCATTTGTGCCAGGAAGAGTACTTGAATAGAAAAGAAAAGCTTTCTCTTATCCCTCTCTGTCAGCCATAATAATTAAAGCCATACATTCTTAGCCAATAATATTTTTATGCTGATATCATTATCTTTCTCCACAAATCCTATAAATTCTTAAAGGTTCAGCCTTTATACTACGTTATCCAGATAGCCTTTTTGGTGAGGACACTGAACAGAGTTTCAGTAAAGGGACATTATCTTGTTATCAAAGCAGTAGTAGTTAAGACAATAACCCTTGGAGTGAGACAGACACAACTTTAAGTCCAACATTTTCCACTTTCTGTGTAATCTTTGGATTTTCTACAATTTCCTCTAAGTTAAAGTAAAATAGAGATAAAAATAGTCCCTAACTCATTTGGTTGTTGTGAGGATCAGATACAATAAGGCATATAAAGTTTAAGAACAGTTCCTGGTACATTGTTATTTTTATTGTCATTGTTATTTTTTCCACATAGTAAATGCCTAATAAACTATTGTCTAAATAAGTACTTGGTGAATTGAATAAGTGCCATTATGGTAGAAGAGAAAAACAAACAAATTACAAAAACAAGTCATAAGGAAAAAAGTAATTATAAATTATTATAAGTGCTATTAAAAAAGAACTAAGAAAAAGAATGAAATGGGGGACCTGTTTTTGGATAGAATCATCAGGGAAGGCCTCTCCAGGAAATGACATGTAAGGTGAGACTTAAAAGATGAAAAGGAGCTGGCCACACGAAGAGTAGGGAGAACAGCATTTCAGGCAGAAGGACTAGCATATACAGAGATCCAGAGGCAGATATGCACATGGACCTGAAAGAACTGAAAGACCACTAGTTAGCTGGGACAGAATAAGGGCAGAGTGGCACCAGATGAAATCAGAAAGTAGCAGAGGCCAAACACAAAAGGCCAGTGTGGAGAGTTTGGCTTTTGCTCCAAGTGCAAAGGAGAGACATTGTGGGTTTTCAAGCAAGGGAATGACAAGATCCTCTAGCTTACTCAATCCATGACTCACACAAACAAACTTAAGGCCGGGCGCGGTGGCTCACGCCTGTAATCCCAGCACTTTGGGAGGCCGAGGTGGGTGGATCACGAGGTCAGGAGATCAAGACCATCCTGGCTAACATGGTGAAACCCCGTCTCTACTAAAAAATACAAAAAATTAGCCGGGCATGGGGGCGGGCGCCTGTAGTCCCAGCTACTCGGGAGGCTGAGACAGGAGATTGGCGTGAACCCAGGAGGTGGAGCTTGCAGTGAGCCGAGATCGCGCCACTGCACTCCAGCCTGGGCGACAGAGCGAGACTCTGTCTCAAACAAACAAACAAACAAACAAACTGAAGAAGAATAAGAATTTCTGAAAATATTTGGAACTTGTTTTTTAGGGAACTTAGTATAAATGTAGACTGAAATATTTCCCATTATGATTGAAGTTATTGATTGCCAGCAAACAAAAACACTTTAGGTGGGGAACTTTTCTTCAGAGGGAGAAGCAATCTTAATAAAGATTTAATCCACTTCATTTTCTTTCACATCTGTAATGAATCCACAGTGGATAGTGTGACCCACTTCAAACAGAGGATAGACAGAAGGAGTACATACGCTAGGCAGGAAGGGTTAGAGTAATTGAGAAAGAGGGCCATTGCCAAGGCCTATGAGGGCCCTGAGTAAAAGCACAGTCTGAGTTGAGAGCACCACATTAGACAAGAGATGATTTGGAAGATATTGTGAAATAGATTTCTCAGAGAAAAGAAGAACAGGATTCCAGTATACAATTAGTGAGACATTGACTGTTAAGGGCTGGACCTTCTGGTACAAATGCCCTAAGGGAACTTATAGAATATTTAAATTTATTTATCAGATAATTGTATTTTTCATTATCCTGCAGTAACAGGTCTTTTCCATTGTAAGATTCTTCCTGCAATGTTGGAGTTTATTCCCTTTCTTGAAGCTGCTTCATCTTGATACTCTTTTTTTAAAAAAAAGCTGCTTCATTTTAGAGACTCACTTGGCAATAATTAAGACCACTGACATTAATATAACAAAATGTTTCTATTTTCCCATGATATATTGAGCAATTAAAATTATTGCCTGTCTTATACAAGGAAATTTATTCCCAAAGGAAAAGCCTATGGGAAAACAGTGGCATGCTCAGATCCCCATTACCTGTTCACTGATGACAGATTAATTTAAAAGGGTACATAATAGCTGAAATCTCCAAAATGCGTTAGTTGTTTTCTTAAATTTTTCTGAAAACAACCAAACAAAATTATAGTACTATGAGACAGTATGTGCCATAAAAACAACTTTGGAGTTACTTTCAAATTTTTTCCTGGAGGATGAAGGATAGCTTATTAAATGTCAGTTATGAACTTAGTGACAACTAATTATCTTTCATTTCACAGCAGCTGATAATAAGTAAGAGCAAAAATGGTGAATACCTACTGTTGCCAGGTAACTGCATCTACTGTACTTCCTGCCACCTTCATGAATCTGTAAGGAATAGAAAGAAAAAAGATATTACAACTTAGATTAAACCACATCCCCTAAATCAAAAGGAAATAAACTGAGACAGATTAGACCAATCCTTAAGCAGGTATGCTTTCTGAGAGGATCCTCCATAGCCACAATCATGGCCTAGACACAGCTATTGGAGGTCAAACTATACAGAAAGTGAAAGTAACCATACTTCCAGCTCCCCACACATCCCTCACCATCTGGAAATCAAAATCCCAATAAGGCATTCTATCTACATCTGTCTTCCCAAGCCCACGCCTGATGACTCCCACATCAATTTCCTCATAACCAAAACTTGTCTGTCCCATTTCCTATTCTCTAAGGACTCCAATCTCTGCTAGGAAACAAACAGTAATATTTCCCAAGGATGACAGCACAAAAGATGCCTTTGAAAAACTTCAGGCTTTCCTAGAGCGAGCATGGGAAAACCCAGTTTATTTATACAAGTAAAAAGTACCATCAAATATGCCCCAGTGAGAGGCTGCCACATCTGTCTCAGTGTAGAAAGTTGAGCAGCACAAAGAGAAATCTATCATCTACTTTTGGAGCAGCTAAATAGAGTACTGAGTGTTATCTGACAATCATGCTCAGCTCAAAAGGTAAACCAGACTTGGTTCCGTGCAGTTAAGCACACATCAAAGCCTTGCCAGCAGTTCCCCAGCTTCTGTGTTTCTGGAGGCTTCAGGAAAATCAATAGGCCAAGAAGATGCATCTGGGGGCCCAAAGATGACACAGGGTCTCTCATAAATTGCATGTTTGTGAATAACTCAATTACCTATCTCCTTCTCCCTATCCACATGTTCTGAGGCCATGTGCTATCATGGTTATAACTACTAGTTGAGGGAGTCATTACCCAGGCACAGGAAACCAAAAGGAGTATCTCAGCTCTTTAAGACATTCCTTTCAGTCCGGACACCCTGGTGGGGAACTTTTCTTCAGAGGGAGAAGCAATCTTTAATGGTACTTCTTAACTGAAGAATTCTTCCTCCAGGGAGAAGGATGGTGTTTTGTCTAGAAGGCCCTATCTCTACTTTACCCCAGCATAATCTTGCAAGGCAGATGCATGTTGCTCATGCTGTGTGGGTTGCTGTGTATTGCCTAAACAGAGGCTCTGATTTGCTGTGACAGCAGAAGAGAATTGAGTTTCTCTGGAGGAGTACATAAGAGAAACATAGGGCTGGATGCCAGGACTGTTGGTTAGCATTAAAGTGAAGTTTATAAAAGGAGAGGAAAAGAAGAAGGGGAAGGACAGGATGGGTCTGAGAAAGGGGGAAGAAAGAGAGAAGGAAGAGGAGGAGGAGGAGAAGGAGGACGAGGACGGAGGATGAGAAGGCCACAGAAGCCCTGGCTTGGCCTTTGGCTGAACGGTTTTGCCTTTCTTTCTCCAGTACGATTCAGCAGTCCTCAAGCAAGAAAGTAGAAAATGACACATGGGAATGATCGAGGAATAGAACTGGTTTGATGGGCAGGGCCAAAATGTCAACGTGGGCTGGAGGGAATGTAACATTTACTACGTACCTACTGAGTGCCAGCCATTCACATGTTATTTCTTATAATTCTTAAAAATGCCTTGCTTGGTAAGGTGGATATTGTCAGTTCCATTATATAGATTACCAGCTTCCCTATTGCCTAGAGAAGTACATCTCCTAACACTCCAAATAGCCAATTTTTGATGGAGTCATGCCACCCCCCCTAGCAGCAGTCATTGGGAAGCATGGCACAGATATCCTCTGCTTTTGAAGCCCATGGATTTCTCTTCCTCTTTATCTCATCTCCTTTCCCCAGCCCAGGACAATCTCTTTTGGGTTTGGGAGAGTAGCTCCAATCTCCTCACTATTTCTGGCCCTATGCCTCTAAAATTCCTCTTCTGGAATTCTAAAGCCAGAAAGACTCATGCAGTATTTGCCTTTTCCTCCTGTCACGTGCTATCCTGTCATAGGCACACAACCAGCTCTTAAATGAATAGAAGGAAAATTGAAAAATACAAGGAGAAAGAAAACAGATTAATATTCAAAATATTATCCCTGCCATCTATGCCACTCTAAGCAGGGAAGATCTGATAATAATCTTAGAAGTAGGATGGCCCAAGAATAAAGAGGAAGAGATGAAATTTTGTACCTCCTTCTCAGATATTCCAAAAATTAAAAAACCTAGACAATCTTAGACACAAATGTCATTTCAAAGAAAGAAATGTAAAAACAAATGTTTACATGGAATTTACTTCTCCAAAATAATTTCTAAAATCTCTGAAATAGAAATATTTTATGTAGGGACAGGGCCAAGATAGCCAACTAGAAGCAGAGATGATCAGAGGCTCCCATAAAAAAAAAAAAAAAAAAAAAAAAAACCATAATAGCGAGCCAATCCTGCACCAACAACCAAGGTATTCAGTTTCTGTCATCAGAACTGACTAGGCAGCTGGCGTGACCCACAGAGAGGAAGGAAGAGCAGTGTGGTGCTGCAGCCCACCTGAGAGCCACACAGGGCAGGGAAGCCCCGATCCTCAGTCAGGAAAGGCAGTCAGTGAGTGTGCTACCCAGCCTGGGAAAATGTGCTTTTTCCATGGAACTGTGTAAACCCATGGATTGGAAGATCCCATTTATAAGCCCACACCACTGGGGCGAGGGTCCCAACCATGGAATGCGTAGATTCTCAACAGCCACTAAGCTAGAGTCTGCTTAAGCCTGCTGACCTCCCAGGAGGAGGGGTGACCAGCACCACAGCTGTGGCTCCCTGCTGTCTAAGCCTTTGAGCTCCTTAGGGGAGGGGCGACAGCCAACTCTGGGACCCATAGCTGCCTAACACACTAAGCTCCCAGGGTGGGGGAAGGCCGGCAGCCATCTCTACAACTCCAGGCTGTGCTTTTCCCCTGCTGGAGCCATGAATAGGGCCTGAACTGAACCCCCAGTGAACCGCAGCAGCCCTATAGAACAGGGACCTGACCACTGCAAGAAAAACAAACAAACAGAAGCAAAAACAACAGCATCAACAAAAAAATGTCCCACAAAAACCCCATCCAAGGGTCAGCAGCCTCAAAGATTGATAGTAGACAAACTCATGAAGATGAGAAAGAAGCAGTGAAAAAAAAACACTGGAAACCCAAAAGGCCAGAGTGCCTCTTCTCCTCTAAATGATCACAGTGCCTCTCCAGCAAGGGCACAGAACTGGACAGAGGATGCGATGGATGAATTGACAGAAGTAGGCTTCATTCAGAAGGTGGGTAACAACAAACTCCGCTGAGCTCAAGGAGCATGTTCTAACCCAGTGCAAAGAAGCTAAGAATCTTGATTAAAGGGTACAGGAGCTGCTAACTACCATAAGCAGTTTCGAGAGGAACATAAATAACTTGAAGGAGCTGAAAAACACAGCATGAGAACGTTGTGAAGTATACACAAGCATCAACAGCCAAATCAACCAAGTGGAAGAAAGAATATCAGAGTTTGAAGACCATCTTGCTGAAATAAGGCATGCAGACAAGAATAGAGAAAAAAGAATGAAAAGGAATGAACAAACCCTCTGGGAAATATGGGACTATGTAAAAAGACCAAACATATGACTGACTGGAGTACCTGAAAGAGACGGGGAAAATGAAACCAAGTTGGAAAACACACTTCAGGATATTATCCAGAAAAACTTCCTCAACCTAGCAAGATAGGCCAACATTCAAATTCAGGAAATACAGAGAACCGCACTAAGATAATCTACAAGAAGATCAACCCCAAGACACGTAATGATCAGATTCCTCAAGGTCAAAATGAAGGAAAAAATGTTAAGGGCAGCCAGAGAGAAAGGCCAGGTCACCTACAAAGGGACTACAATCAGACTAACAGTGGTCCTCTCAGCAGAAACCCTGCAAGCCAGAAGAGAGTGGGGGCCAATATTCAACATTCTTAAACCAACAAAGATCAAAAGAGACAAAGAAGGCCATTACATAATGGTAAAGGGATCAATTCAACAAGAAGAGCTAACTATCCTAAATATATATGCACCCAATACAGGAGCACCCAGATTCATAAAGCAAGTCCTGAGTGACCTACAAAGAGACTTAGACTCCCACACAATAATAATGGGAGACTTTAACACCCCACTGTCAACATTAGACAGATCAACGAGACAGAAAGTTAACAAGGATACCCAGGAATTGAACTCAGCTCTGCACCAAGCAGACCTAATAGACATCTACAGAACTCTCCACCCCAAATCAACAGAATATACATTTTTTTCAGCACCACACCACACCTATTCCAAAATTGACCACATAGTTGGAAGTAAAGCTCTCCTCAGCAAATGTAAAAGATCAGAAATTATAACAAACTGTCTCTCAGACCACAGTGCAATCAAACTAGAACTCAGGATTAAGAAACTCACTCAAAACCACTCAATTACATGGAAACTGAACAACCTGCTCCTGAATGACTACTGGGTACATAACGAAATGAAGGCAGAAATAAAGATGTTCTTTGAAACCAACGAGAACAAAGACACAACATACCAGAATCTCTGGGACACATTCAAAGCAGTGTGAAGAGGGAAATTTATAGCACTAAATGCCCACAAGAGAAAGCGGGAAAGATCCAAAATTGACACCCTAACATCCCAATTAAAAGAACTAGAAAAGCAAGAGCAAACACATTCAAAAGCTAGCAGAAGGCAAGAAATAACTAAAATCAGAGCAGAACTGAAGGAAATAGAGACACAAAAAACCCTTCAAAAAATTAATGAATCCAGGAGCTGGTTTTCTGAAAGGATCAACAAAACTGATAGACTGCTAGCAAGACTAATAAAGAAGAAAAGAGAGAAGAATCAAATAGATGCAATAAAAAATGATAAAGGGGATATCACCACCAATCCCACAGAAATACAAACTACCATCAGAGACTACTACAAACACCTCTACACAAATAAACTAGAAAATCTAGAAGAAATGGATAAATTCCTCCACACATACACCCTCCCAAGACTAAACCAGGAAGAAGTTGACTCTCTGAATAGACCAATAACAGGCTCTGAAATTGTGGCAATAATCAATAGCTTACCAAACAAAAAGAGTCCAGGACCAGATGGATTCACAGCCGAATTCTACCAGAGGTACAAGGAGGAACTGGTACCATTCCTTCTGAAACTATTCCAATCAATAGAAAAAGAGGGAATCCTCCCTAACTCATTTTATGAGGCCAGCATCATCCTGATACCAAAGCCTGGCAGAGACACAACAAAAAAAGAGAATTTTAGACCAATATCCTTGATGAACATCGATGTAAAAATCCTCAATAAAATACTGGCAAACCGAATCCAGCAGCACATCAAAAAGCTTATCCACCATAATCAAGTGGGCTTCATCCCTGGGATGCAAGGCTGGTTCAATATACGCAAATCAATAAATGTAATCCAGCATATAAACAGAACCAAAGACAAAAACCACATGATTTTCTCAATAGATGCAGAAAAGGCCTTTGACAAAATTCAACAACCCTTCATGCTAAAAACTCTCAATAAATTAGGTATTGATGGGACATATCTCAAAATAATAAGAGCTATCTATGACAAACCCACAGCCAATATCATACTGAATGGGCAAAAACTGGAAGCATTCCCTTTGAAAACTGGCACAAGACAGAGATGCCCTCTCTCACCACTCCTATTCAACATAGTGTTGGAAGTTCTGGCCAGGGCAATTAGGCAGGAGAAGGAAATAAAGGGTATTCAATTAGGAAAAGGGGAAGTCAAATTGTCCCTGTTTGCAGATGACATGATTGTATATCTAGAAAATCCCGTTGTCTCAGCCCAAAATCTCCTTAAGCTGATAAGCAACTTCAGCAAAGTCTCAGGATACAAAATCAATGTACAAAAATCACAAGCATTCTTATACACCAATAACAGACAAACAGAGAGCCAAATCATCAGTGAACTCCCATTCACAATTGCTTCAAAGAGAATAAAATACCTAGGAATCCAACTTACAAGGGATGTGAAGGACCTCTTCAAGGAGAACTACAAACCACTGCTCAGTGAAATAAAAGAGGATGCAAACGAATGGAAGAACATTCCATGCTCATGGGTAGGAAGAATCGATATCATGAAAATGGCCATACTGCCCAAGGTAATTTATAGATTCAATGCCATCCCCATCAAGCTACCAATGACTTTCTTCACAGAATTGGAAAAAAACTACTTTAAAGTTCATATGGAACCAAAAAAGAGCCTGCATCACCAAGTCAATCCTAAGCCAAAAGAATAAAGCTGGAGGCATCATGCTACCTGACTTCAAACTATACTACAAGGCTACAGTAACCAAAACAGCATGGTACTGGTACCAAAACAGAGACATAGATCAATGGAACAGAACAGAGCCCTCAGAAATAACGCCGCATATCTACAACTATCTGATCTTTGACAAACCTGAGAAAAACAAGCAATGGGGAAAGGATTCCCTATTTAATAAATGGTGCTGGGAAAACTGGCTAGCCATATGGAGAAAGCTGAAACTGGATCCCTTCCTTACACCTTATACAAAAATTAATTCAAGATGGATTAAAGACTTAAACATTAGACCTAAAACCATAAAAACCCTGGAAGAAAACCTAGGCATTACTATCCAGGACATAGGCATGGGCAAGGACTTCATGTCTAAAACACCAAAAGCAATGGCAACAAAAGCCAAAATTGACAAATGGGATCTAATTAAACTAAAGAGCTTCTGCACAGCAAAAGAAACTACTATCAGAGTGAACAGGCAACCTACAAAATGGGAGAAAATTTTTGCAACCTACTCATCTGACAAAGGGCTAATATCCAGAATCTACAATGAACTCAAACAAATTTACAAGAAAAAAACAAACAACCCCATCAACAAGTGGGCGAAGGACATGAACAGACACTTCTCAAGACATTCATGCAGCCAAAAAACACATGAAAAAATGCTCACCATCACTGGCCATCAGAGAAATGCAAATCAAAACCACAATGAGATACCATCTCACACCAGTTAGAATGGCGATCATTAAAAAGTCCGGAAACAACAGGTGCTGGAGAGGATGTGGAGAAATAGGAACACTTTTACACTGTTGGTGGGACTGTCAACTAGTTCAACCATTGTGGAAGTCAGTGTGGCGATTCCTCAGGGATCTAGAACTAGAAATACCATTTGACCCAGCCATCCCATTACTGGGTATATACCCAAAGGACTATAAATCATGCTGCTATAAAGACACATGCACACGTATGTTTACTGCGGCACTATTCACAATAGCAAAGACTTGGAACCAACCCAAATGTCCAACAATGATAGACTGGATTAAGAAAATGTGGCACATATACACCATGGAATACTATGCAGCCATAAAACACGATGAGTTCATGTCCTTCGTAGGGACATGGATGAAATTGGAAATCATCATTCTCAGTAAACTATCGCAAGAACAAAAAACCAAACACCAAATATTCTCACTCATAGGTGGGAACTGAACAATGAGAACACATGGACACAGGAAGGGGAACATCACACTCTGGGGACTGTTGTGGGGTGGGGGGAGGGGGGAGGGATAGCTTTAGGAGATATACCTAATGCTAAATGATGAGTCAATGGGTGCAGCACACCAGCATGGCACATGTATACATATGTAACTAACCTGCACATTGTGCACATGTACCCTAAAACTTAAAGTATAATAATAATAAAATAAAATAAAATAAAATGAAAATAGTTTTAAACCCAGAATTTCAAATCCAGCCAAACTAAGCTTCATAAATGAAGGAGAAATAAAATCATTTCCAGACAAGCAAATGCTGAGGGATTTTGTCACCACCAGCCTGCCTTGCAAGAGCTCCTAAAGGAAGCACTAAATATGTAAAGGAAAAAACCAGTACCAGCCACTGCAAAAACATACCAAAATATAAAGACCAATGACACTATGAAGAAGCTGCATCAACAAGTGTGCAAAATAACCAGATAGCATCATGATGGCAGGATCAAATTTACACATAACAATATTAACCTTAAATGTAAATGGGCTAAATGCCCCAATAAAAGACACAGGCTGTCAAATTGGATAAAGAGTCAAGACCCATTGGTGTGCTGTATTCAGGAGGCCCATCTCATGTGCAAAGACACACACAGGCTCAAAATAAAGGGATGGAGGAATATTTACCAAGCAAATGGAACACTCACACAAAAAGCAGGGGTTGCAATCCTAGTCTCTAATGAAACAGACTTTAAACCAACAGAGATCAAAAAAGACAAAGAAGGGCATTACATAATGTTAAAGGAATCGATTCAACAAGAAGAGCCAACTATCCTAAATATAAATGCACCCAATACAGAAGCACCCAGATTCATAATACAAGTTCTTAGAGACCTATAAAGAGACTTAGACTCCCACATAATAATAGTGGGAGACTTTAACACCCCACTGTCAATATTAGACAGATCAACGAGACAGAAAATTAACAAGGATATTCAGGACTTAAACTCAGCTCTGGATCAAGTGGCCCTAATAGACATCTACAGAACTCTCCACCACAAGTCAACCACATGGCACTTATTCTAAAATCAACCACACAATTGGAAGTAAAACACTTCTCAGCAAATGCAAAAGAATGGAAATCATAACAGTCTCTCAGACCACAGTGCAATCAAATTAGAACTCAGGATTAAGAAACTCACTCAGAAATCACACAACCACTTGGAATTTGAACAACCTGCTCCTGAATGACTCCTGAGTAAATAATTAAACTAAGGAAGAAATAAAGAAGTTCTTTTAAACCAATGAAAACAGAGACGAGACAACGTACCAGAATCTCTGGGACACAGCTAGAGCAGAGGGAAATTTACAGCACTAAATGCCAACATCAGAAAGCTGGAAAGATGTCAAATCAACACCCTAACATCACAGTTAAAAGAGCTAGAGAAGCAAGAGCCAACAAATCCAAAAGCTAGCAGAAGAGAAGAAATAACTAAGATCAGAGCAGAATTGAAGGAGATAGATGCATGAAAAACCCTTCAAGAAAAAAAACAATGAATCCAGGAGCTGGTTTTTAGTAAAAATTAACAAAATAGATAGACTGCTAACTAGACTAATAAAGAAGAAAAGAGAGAAGAATCAAACAGACACAATAAAAAATGATAAAGGAGATATCACCACTTACCCCACAGAAATACAAACTACCATCAGAAAATGCTATAAACACCTCTACACAAACAAACTTGAAAATCTAGAAGTGGATACATTCCTGGAAACATATACCCTCCCAAGACTAAACCAGGAAGAAGTTGAATCCCTGAATAAACCAATAGCAAGTACTGAAATTTAGGCAGTAATTAATAGCCTACCAACCAAAAAAGGTCTAGGACCAGACAGATCACAGCTGAATTCTACCAGAGGTACAAAGAAGAGCTGGTACCAGTCCTTCTGAAACTATTCCAAACAATTGAAAAGGAGGGACTCCTCCCTAGCTCATTTTATGAGGCCAGCATCATCCTGATACCAGAACCTGGCAGAGACACAACAAAAAAAAGAAAACTTCAGGCCAATATCGAAGCAAAAATCCTCAATAAAATGCTGGCAAACTAAATCCAGCAGCACATCAAGAAACTTATCCACCGTGATCAAGTCGGCTTCATCCCTGGGATGCAGGGCTGGTTCAACATATGCAAGTCAATAAACATAATCCATCACATAAACAGAACCACTGACAAAAATCACATGATAATCTCAATAGATGCAGAAAACCCCTTTGATAAAAATCAACATCTCTTCATGTTAGAAACTCTCAATAAAATAGGTATTCATGGAACATATCTCAAAATAATGAGCTATGTGTGACAAACCTACAGCCAATATCATACTGAATGGGCAAAAGCTGGAAGCATTGCCTTTGAAAACTGGCCAAGACAAGGATGCCGTCTCTCACCACTCCTATTCAACATAGTATTGGAAATTCTGGACAGACAATCAGACAAGAGAAAGAAATAAAGAGTATTCAAATAGGAAGAGAGGAAGTCAAGTAGTCTCTGTTTGCAGAAGACATGATTCTGTATTTAGAAAACCCCATCATCTCAGCCCAAAAACTCCTTAAGCTGATAAACAACTTCAGCAAAGTCTCAGGAGACAAAATCAAAGTGCAAAAATCACAAGCATTCCTATACACCAATAGACAAACAGCCAAATCATGAATGAACTCCTATTCGCAATTGCTACAAAGAGAATAAAATACCTAGGGATACAGCTAACAAGGGATGTGAAGGACTCTTCAAGGAGAACTACAAACCACTGCTCAAGAAAATCAGAGGACACAAACAAATGGAAAAACATTCCATCCTCATGGATAGGAAGAATCAATACCGTGAAAATGGCCACACTGCCCAAAGTAATTTACAGATTCAATGCTATTCCCATCAAACTACCATTGACATTTTTCACAGAGTTAGAAAAAACTACTTTAAATTTCATATGGAACAAAAAAAAAAAAGCCCAGATAGCCAAGACAATCCTAAGCAAAAAGAAGGAAGCTAGAGGCATCATGCTACCTGACTTCAAACTATACTACAAGGCTACAGTATTTAAAACAGCATGGTACTTGTCCCAAAACAGACATAAAGACCAATGGAACAGAACAGAGACCTCAGATATAACACCACACATCTACAATCATCTGATCTTCGACAAACTGGACAAAACAAACAATGGAGAAAGGATTCCCTATTTAATATATTGTGCTGGGAAAACTGGCTAGCCATATGCGGAAAACTGAAACTTGACCTCTTCCTTACACCTTATACAAACATTAACTCAAGATGGATTAAAGACTTAAATGTAAAACCCCAAACCATAAGAACCCTAGAAGAAAACCTAGGCAATATCATTCAGGACATAGGCATGGGCAAAGGCTTCATGACGAAAATGCCAAAAGCAACTGCAACCAAAGACAAAATTGACAAATGGGATCTAATTAAACTAAGAGCTTCTGCCCAGCAAAAGAAACTACAATCAGAGTAAATAGGCAACATACAGAATGGGAGAAAAGTTTTGCAATCTGCCCATCTAACAAAGGTCTAATATCCAGAATCTACAAGGAACTTAAACAAATTTACAAGAAAAAAACAACCCCATAAAAACTGGGCAAAGGATATGAACAGACACTTCTCAAAAGAAGATATTAATGTGGTGAACAAATATATGAAAAAAAGCTCAACAGCATTGATCATTAGAGAAATGCAAATCAAAACCACAATGAGATACCATCTCACATCAGTCAGAATGGCAGTTATTTCAAAAGTCAAGAAACAATAGATGCTGGCGAAGCTGCGGAGAAATAGGAATGCTTTTACACTGTTGGTGGGAAAGTAAATTAGTTCAACCATTGTGGAAGATGGCGTGGCAATTCCTCAAGGATCTAGAACCAGAAATACCATTTGACCTAGCCATCCCATTACTGGGTACGCACCCAAAGGAATATAAATAATTCTACTATGAAGACATATGCACATGTATGTTTATTGTAGCACTATTTACAATAGCAAAGACATGGAACCAACCCAAATGCCCTTTAATGATAGACTAAATAAAGAAAATGTGGTACAGACACACCATGGAATAATACGCAGCCTTAAAAGGAATGAAATCATGTCCTTTGCAGTGACATGGTTGAAGCCGGAAGCCATTATCCTCAGCAAACTAACACAGGAACAGAAAACCAAACACTGCATGTTCTCACTCATAAGTGGGAGCTGAACAATGAGAACACATGGACACAGGGAGGGGAGCAACACACACTGGGTCCAGTCGCGGGGTGGGGGAGCGAGGAGAGGGAGAGCATTAGCATAAATAGCTAATGCATGCCGGGCTTAAAACCTAGATGACGGGTTTGATAGGTGCAGGATGCCACCATGACACATGTAGACCTATGTAACAAACCTACATGTCCTGCACTTGTATCCTGGAACTTAAAGTAAAATTCAAAACAAAAGAAATATTTTATGTGAAACTGTTTTATAATCATATACAAATAACCATAATGAAAACAATACTGACATTAATAGAGCTTTGTCATAAAATGCTTTTCAGTTTCTTATATGTATAGCTTCCCATAGTCCTCAAAACAATCCAGTAAGGTAGATATTTCTGTATTTCAGTGGAGGAGTTGTGAGATTATGAGACTTGCTCAAATTCATGTAGTTAGTGCAGGCTAAACTCAGGTTCTGATTCCAAATCCGACCATCTTTCCAGTATCTTATGCTGCCTCCAAGCTGTTTTCACTGAGGCTAGGAAGTATAGTAAACTCTAAGATACAAAAAATTAGCTGAATTTTTGCTTGGAGAAAACGCTACCATATTGATTAGAAAAAGGAAAAAGCTGGAGCACCTTCTTTGCTTGTTAGCTTCCTCTCACAGACTTGAGCCCTTCAATGCTTATTGTAAGACAATGTGCTGGATGCAGGTATCAGAAGACGACTGGCTCAGGGCCTCTGCTACAAGACAACCACAATGAAGCCCAGGAGACAGAAATGTGGACAAGGACATACCAAAATTTCTGTGTGCTGTAACAGATTATTAGTTTGTACCAGTAGTACAGTAAGAGGACCTCAGTAAGAGGAGCAGTTAGGTCTGCCTTATGGTGTCAGAAGGAATACAGATTAAGAAAACCTTCATATTGTCTACAATGTTGAATATGAGATTGAAAGAAGGGTAGGATTTTGCCAGGAGGAGCAGCCCAGGCAAAGAACAGCATGAGCAAAACAAGGAAGAGTCAAAATGAGCTGTTCACAGAAGTCCAGTATGGCTAGATGTCAGGGAACAAGTAAGGGAATGGCAGGAGGTCAGGTTGGTCAGATCACTAGGAGCTACCCTGTGTTGCCTTTATAAGTCTGGCCTTTACCCTTAACAACAAGGTACAAGTCCAGGTCCTATTTACCTTTGTATGATTAGCACCCAACATAATATTGTAAAATATAGCCAGCTCGTCTTCCACGTATGTTTGTTGAATTTATTCCATCTTTAAACACACACAAGGGATTCTCAGGATCAGATTTGCATTTCAGGATCTGGCTAAACACTGAAATGAAAGATACTGGTGAAGATAAGCTGGCAAGAGATTACTACAGAGACATGGGAGGCTTTGAAATGTAGGAATGAAAAAAAAAAGGCCCACTTTAGAAACACTGTTGGTGTGCTCAAGAGAAAGAAGGGAATGCCAAAATGTTAATTGCAATAATGAATGCTATTATCCAAGATGAGACCCAGGAGAGGACTTTCAATGCCACTGCTGGTAAATATATTCCAGTCCTTCTGAATATGCCTCAAATAACTTGAAGTACTAGTCATTGATATTAACAGCCCTATATTCATAAGAAAATTAAGACCAAATAAATCATTAATGCCCTACTTGGCTAAAAGTCTCTGGACAGGCAATTCAGAACATTTCTAATTTGGCATGTTGAAAATTGGAAACTGGTCCTTCATGACACTATAATCAGGAGATCCTCATATGCACTGAATAGTTTTCTCTGCTATATGTGAGAATTAAGTCCTCATATAATGTTCTATTAACTAAAGGAACATTATATAAAAAATGAGAAAACTATTATTTAAATGTTAGTGATATTTAAAGTACTGTTATTGTATTCTCTCCACATCTGCACCCTATATCTCAAAGAAAATCCATAATATCTATAATTAAATAGGAAATATCCTGAGCCCATAAGTAGAATAGTATATAGTTTACAGAAAAATAGTTTAAAATCAGATATAGGAAAAGAGCTACCATGATCCTACAGAGGAAAATCAATTATTCTTCTTAAACCAATTTATAGGCTTAATGAAATTCGAATAAAAAGTCCCAGCAGATATTTTTCAAGCTTTACAAAACCATTCTAACATTCATCTGGAAGAAGCCAAGAAAATTTTGAAAAACTGGAATAATGAAGGGGCATTTATTGGATCTACCATATATTATCATGAAATTTGTAATGATTAAAACATTCAAGATTTAGTAAGGAGATCTATGGAATAAAATTTAAAAAACTATATAAGAATTTATTACATAAAAAGGAATTCAGTATGTGAAAAACTGAAGCATTTTGAAATGTGCTATGTGATTTGTTGTCTACTTGGGAAAAAAATTAAAGTCACAGATCCTCACCTAATATTCTGTATAAGAAATCAAAATATTAAAATGTAGTTTAGTTTCATTATATTTAAAAAATTTCAGGCCGGGCACGGTGGCTCACGCCTGTAATCCCAGTACTTTGGGAGGCTGAGGTGGGCGGATCACGAGGTCAGGAGATCAAGACTATCCTCACTAACAATGTGAAACCCTGTCTCTACTAAAAATACAAAAAATTAGCTGGGCGTGGTGGTGGGCACCCGTAGTCCCAGCTACTTGAGAGGCTGAGGCAGAAGAATGGCCTGAACCCAGGAGGCAGAGCTTGCAGTGAGCCGAGATCACACCACTGCACTCCAGCCTGGGCGACAGAGTGAGACTACGTCTCAAAAAAAAAAAAAAAAATTCAATCCCAATTTAATATTTTTAGACAAATTATATTATTTTTTAACCGTAGTGGTATATTGAAGCAGTAGAAAAGTTGTTTTACCTGACTTTGAGGAAACACCATTATTAAGTATGTGCTCATGTAAAAATTGCTGTAAGCTACATTTTTTCCTTTTTCCTTCCTAACAAAATGATGAGATCAACTTCAACCATATGGAAGCATTTCTACACTTAGTTTGAGGAGGAAAAAATCAAATTTGCAAACAATGTCAAACAAAATATGCATTTCCAAATTCTAGCAAGATGACCAAACACATCCTTCTCTTTTTAGAAAGACCTCATCTAAAATAGGACAACTATTCTGTTTCCAGAAGTCTTCGAATAATATTTATATTTTTTAAAAACTAGAAAAGGAAAGCCAACCACAGAAATAACTCATGAAGAAAAATAATTAGATACAATTCCAAAGAACAGCTATTACAGTCAATGAGTTTGGAGTATTCTCCCTGCCCCCATGAACCTTCCCTGAACGTTAGGCTTTCTATATCTTATATGCAGAAATCTATACCATTCCTATACTCCATTTTTATATCTGTATTGACACTGTGGAGGACAATTCCAAAAAGATCATTATTTTCTTTGTTCAAATCTAACATTGATAGATTGTTCTGCTCTCTAGTTCTGCCTGTTTCTCGGAAACTGGCCCAAACCACATAAATGAACAACTTCAACACAGCTGCAAAATGCTCAGCAACAGTAATATTAGAGGTGGAATAACATGCACACGGAATAGTGCTGTCAGGAGTGAAATTCCACTGGGAGAGTGAAATTCTGTTTAGGGTCTGGTATTATCCAAGGACTTTCTACCATTCACTTCCATTCTAATCCCTAGATTTAGGTCTATGAAGGTACAAGTTAATGATGACTCAGGCTGTGAATACTGACAAGAGTGGAAGATCTTGGTTTTCCAAGGTTGGATGTTTCCATAGCTGAATTATGGTGACAGAAATCTGGACTATGATCTCAGAGGACAAGGGGTCTTTGCCCTCATGCTGATCTTCAGTCACACAGAAAAGTGTAAGAGAGGGAAGAGGACAGGGCCTGTATCTAATGAAATTGGCCAGTGCCAGGCAGACATTTCGGTATTTGGGGGCCTTCCCATCAGGGCCATTCTGCTACTATAGAAAATAACAAAATATCTCCTTTCATTGTGAGAGTTCCTACCCCCACCCAACAGGGGACTCCAAATCTAGGAGAATTTCTTTCCTTTGTTATCCACCTGCACATATGATGTATCTGAAATATTGTTGAGCCTTCTCTCCCAGGGCATATCACAGCTCTCTATTATAATAAGGCCCATCTTTACTCATGGTCTTTGGGGTTTGATTTCTACTTCTGGATCACAGATTGCAACCCTAAAATCTGATTTCTGAATTTTGCTCCCAGGAAAGGGGATAAATCCTTCACCAGGAACTGGATATCTAACTGAGTACATACTTTAATAAGAGCATAGTAGCCTGATCTTTCCTGTCCACAAAGAGAATCTTTGGTTATGCTAACTAACACAAATAAGATGTGACAGCCGTTCTACACAAAAGCCTAGGGAAAGCTTGTGAGAAAATAATTCATCCTGAGTTATAGTAAACCAGGCTGAACTCTAGATAAACAACATTTTGGGGCATCTTTCATTTGGTCCAAAGCCACTTACTTTTTCATGGTTAATTATATGTCGAGCTAGACTGGGTGCTACATAGAAGAAATGAAATATTGACCTCTCTCTCTCTTTCTCCCTTTCTCCTTCTCTCCCTCACCTTCAGTCCTCCATTTCTTTCTCCTTTACTCACTCCTTGCCTCTCCTCTCCCCATCCCTATTTATGTATATTAATAATATCACATTGGCAGTGGACCAATAAAAAGTATATAGTTATATGTTTGTCGACTTTAATGGCTAGTGCAGATCTCTATTTAGGCTTCCCTTGGAGCTTATGTTTCCCTTAGTTTGATAGGTTTATAGAGGCTTAAATATACAGGAATTAAGATGGGTGAGACTCTTTGACCAATCCATCTTGTTGATAAAAGTTACTTCCTTGCAGTTTAATTTAAGGAGAATCCTGAATGAAGAAAGGAAAAAATAAGTTAATTACCATTTGCCGACTGACAGGCATTTGGTAAGCAGATTATCTATTTTACAACTCTGTAAGGTTGGTATTATTAATCTCATTTTCTAGATAAGAAACTGTGCTCAAGATCACACAGGCAGTTAATTGCAGAGCTGGGATTCAAACCCAATTCTGATTCTAAAGCCCTTGTTATAACCATGCAGAGTTGGCAAATTTGTACCACATGTGGTATTGTTCCTTTTTGCTGAGCCTATAGTAAGAGAGCTCAATACTCCCTCATTTATCTCACAATTGGCCTAAGATTTTTTCTCAAGATAGAGTGCCAGGCCCTGTTTACTAAAACTGGCACCCAAGATGAAGCCTATTTGCTGCCAGTGAAGGGTTGAGAGATGGGAGGCTATAGGACAATGTCTGGAACAAGATAGAGGCAGATGTGAGAGAATAACACATATAGGAAGACCAAATAGATTTGCTTGATTGGAAAGAAGAAAAAGACAGGGAAATGGGGGATGATGAGAAAAGATGATGAAAGAGATCTGGAAGGCTCTGGCTGGAGCTGGAAGGTGCTGGTTAGAAGATCATGATACACACCCCTTGACAGTCCAAAATGCTGCTGAGGAAGTTGTAAAGACTTGGATTCAAGCAAAGAAGGCTCTAATAACCTGAAATGATTTGACCTGGCTGTAGAGCCTGGTGAGAAGGAGGAAAAATGCATCAGGATTTTGTTATTTATTTCACATGAAAAAGCAAACTTTTTCTTTTGGAGCTCAAGCCCTGCTATAAACCTGACTGTAAGTGTGAACATTGAGGAACTGAGGTTGAGAAGAACTGTATTTTATTTTGTATGCTAGACTATTTAGCTTAATTGAAATATGAAGATTCAGAAAAATAGCATCACTGAATAGCAAGAGCATGGGCCCCAGAGTCAGACACTTATCTGATTTGTGACCTGGCTCCACAGTTCATTAGCCATGTGACCTTGGGTAAGTTGTTTAACTTCCTTGATCCATGTCATATGGAAAGAACAGAACCTATTTCCCAAAAGTGTTGTGAGAATTAACAAGAAAACGAGAAACAAAGGTAGTGTCTGGTACACTGTTGGCACTCAATAAATGTCAGTTTCCTCTTCTTGGTTCTGGTTTTTGAGCTTTGTAAATCATTTAATATTTGTGCACCTACATTCTTTGATCTTTAAAATAAAGATAATAAAACTTGCTTTGCCTATATTACAGGGTAGTGGTTCTCATACATTAGTGTGTAAAGAATTATTTGAGGTCTTTATTCAAAATGCCAATATCTGGCTCACATCCCCACACATCTGCTTCAGGAGGTCTGAGCTGGAGCCTAAGAATCATGCTGCATGCATAGCAATCCCTCTAGGTGCTTCTAATGCAGGAGGACCATGGACTATACTTCTGACAAATTCTGATCTTAGCAGCACCTATAAGGGGAGAGCATTCTTGGAGGGGAAAGCAGGGTTGTGAGGGAAAGAAGAGGGAACAGAGGAAAAACTGGAAAATAAGAAAGTGAGGAAGAATATTTCTCAAGACCATCTGACTAGTAAAGTGTCAAATCGAAGTCTATGTTTCAGGACTCCAGCCTCCATCTCCAATGTTCGACAGACTGACTTCTCTGGTATTAGAGACAGAGAGAAACATCCTCCATTATAATGACAGTATTTTTGTTGTTGTTGTTAAAATTAGAAGAAAAAAAAAACAAGTTTAAGGTTGAAAAAAATTGTTATATGTCTTTATACCAATGGAGTGTAAATATAATTTTTAATATGTCTTTAAGGAAGGGACTCATGAAGTCAAAAGTGCCTTGGGCCCATAAAAGTCACAATGGAAGTCTGTGTATAGGAATACAGTAAAATTTCCATCCTCATCCACTTATACAGCTTTCATACCTACCCATGCTTTGAGGAAAAGATGGAATCGATAAATCAGGATTAGGCACTTAGTAGAAGTGTTGTTGATTAGACACAACTAAAGACAGAAATCTGGATATAAAATGGCAATTTTTCTATTTGTGCTTTATTGAACATATAGCATATATCATGTGGTCTGCCGTGGTGGCAAAGACCATTATTTGCTTCCTAGTTTTGTCCTGCTTCTATCTCCTTTGCTCAACTTTAAATGCTTCCCATAGCTCTCTGAGCCACGATAGGAGCAGAAAACTGTCTAGCTTTCTATTCTAACACAGGTTCAGGTTAGAATATTCCACTAGCAATTCTGTAGAATGTTGGATTAACTTCCATTCTTCATTCTTCACTCATTCAACAAACTGGAGTACCTATTATGTACCAGGCTTGTTGCTAGCACTGCATATACAATAGTAAATACAACATACTTCTTGCCCTTATGGAATTTATAATCTATAAAGGACAAGCAAACAAACAATAAATATATAGTTAGAAAGTATAACTATCTATAGCCTGTTAGTTTAGATAGAGAATTACTTCGCTAGATGACTCAAGAAAGCACTCTGATGGATGAGAAGAAACCAGTCATGTGGGGAGGAGACTGCTCTAGCATGGTACTAGCTTAGCACATAACCAGGCCCATGAGGACTGAGTGAGGTAAGAAAAAGAGAATGTGGTAGAAGATAAAAATGAAGATCTGGATAGAGGTCAGCTCATTCATTGTAAAGCCCTGCAGGCCATGGTCAAGAGATTACATTTTATTCTAAGAGAAATGAAAAGTCATTAAAGCATCTTTAGCAAGTGACTGACATCATATGAACTAGGTTTGTAAATGATTCTTCTGGCAACTGAGTGAACAGATAGGAGGGGAACAAGATGCACGCAAGCAGAGTAGTAATGAGGGTACTGAGGCAATCCAGGTTCTCTGAATCCTCCAAATTGTAATTCTTTTTTTTAACGTTTCCTTTACTGCCATCACCCACCGAAACCAGAGTGCATATTCGAAGTCAATGTGATCCAAACATGTTAGTGGAACATTAATCCCTCAAGATGGTCTCTGAAAGTAAGATGCTGTGGTCAAAAAAATTCAGAAAATTCTGCATGCTAAATCCCCTTCTTGGAGATTCCGAATGTAAACTAATATATTAAAAGCACAGGTAAGTGTTTCAGTAAATGTGTGGATCCCAGCATTTCTCAAGCTTACTTGACCATGGAATGTTTTATTTTTTTTTCCTCCACATAATGTTAATATCCTGTAGAAGTGATATTCTCCAGAGCATACTTAAGAAAGTGCTGCCATAAGTCATTCTAACCAAGAGTCAAGCAAATTCCATGTGCTTGGTTTACTGGGTCCCTTCTCCTTTACCTCTCCATTTATTATTCTAATAGTTTAGACAATATTTTCTGAATCATCATATATTATGTAAGGATATCACCCCTCACATATGGTATTTCTTCTCTCCATTTCTACCTTCTATTTCTATCAACTGTCCCTTTACTTTTATATTGCCAAGGTTGGCAAAGTTTTCATTCTTTCTGTAACTATAGTTCTCTTTCTTGTTTTGGGATCTGGCTGTCCTATAAGCCAGCTGTTGGATATCCTTAATTGATTCTCTATATCAATAATATTTCTCTGTCTCTGTATAAAGCTTGGTGTATAGGAGCTTTATCTTTTATCTTCTAAATATTTTATTAGACTCTTAAACGCTTTTTGGAAATATAATTTACATATCATACAATTCACTCAGAGAAGTGTTCAATTCAGTAGTTTTTATTATATTGTAAGTGTTGTGCAACCATTAACAATCTAATTCTAGAATATTTCATCATTCCAAAAAGAAACCCTGTATCCATTACAGACACTCTTCATTTCCCCAAAATCTTCACCAGCCCTAAGCAACTACTAAACTATGTTTTGTTTCTATTGATTTGTGACATTTAATATAAAAGGAACCATACAATGTATGGCCTTTTGTGACTGGCTTCCTTCAGTGACCATAATATTTTTAAGGTTTATCCATGTTATAACATGTATTGGTGCTTCATTTCTTTTCATTGTCTAATAATATTTAATTGTATGGATATACCACATTTTCCCTATTAATCAAGTGATGAACCTTTGTTTCTATTTTTTAGCTATTATGAATACTGCTGCTATGAATATTTGCGTACAAGTTTTTGTGTGGATATATGTTTTTATTTCTCTTAGGAAGTGCTTAGCCTTATGTTAATTACATTTAACATTTTAAGTAATTGCCAGACTGTTTTCCAAAGCAGCTGAACCATATTATATTCCCATTAGCATTGTATACGGGTTGCAATTTTTCTACATCCTCTCCAGTACTTGTTATTGTATATAATCTTTTTGATTATAGCTATTTTAGTGGATGTGAGGTGGTATCTCGCTGTGGTTTTGATTAGCATTTCCCTAACAACTAACAATGTTAAGTATCTATTCACGTGCTTATTGGCCATTTGTATAACTTGGTAAATATGTCCACTCATATCCTTTCTGTCCATATTTTAGTTAGGTAATTTGTCTTTTCATTGTTGAGTTGTAAGAATTCTTTAAATATATTCTGGATACCATTCTCTTATCAGATATATGACTTGCAAATATTTTCTCCTATTCTGCATGTTATCTGTTCACATTCTTGATGGTGTCATTCGACACACAAAAGTTCTTAGTTTTGGTAAAGTCCAATTTATCATTGATATATTTTATCACATTTGCCTTTAGTGTTGTATCTAAGAAATCACTCCTTAAACTTTATTAGAAAATTTCAGCAAGAATATATTTACTTTCAAAATGATCTTTTTGTACTGATTCATAGCTTTTTCATGGAAATTGCTTTTACTCCATAAATACCATATATTTCTATATCATTATAAGGATACCAATTACAGATTTTTATTTTTAAAGCACTGGATCTTGAATTATAATTCTTCTTGGGTCAATTGTTTAATTAATTTATCTTGGTTTTTTTCTTTCATGCTACTGATTTCTTTTTTGTGTCTTGTGATCTTTGGCTCTCTACAGGCATACCACAGAGGTATTGCAGGTTCAGTTCCAGACCACTGCAATAAAGTGAATATTACAATAAAGAGAGTCACACAAATTATTTGGTTTCTCAGTACATATAAGAGTTATGTTTACACTATACCATAGTCTATTAAGTATGCAACAGCATTATGTCTAAAAGAACAATGTATATACCTTAATTCAAAATACTTTATTGCTAAAAATGATAACGATCATCTGAGCCTTCAGTGAGTCATAATCTTTTTGCTGATAGAGGGTCTTGCCTTGATATGGATGGTGCTGACTGATCAAGGTGGTGATTACTAGAAGGCTGGGATGGCTGTGGCAATTTCTTAAAATAAAACAACAGGGATGTTTGCCACATTAAGTGATTCTTCCTTTCATGGAAGACTTCTCTGTAGCATTCAATGCTGTTTGATGGCATTATACCCACAGTAGAAACTCTTTCAAAATTGGAGTCAATCCTGTCAAACTCTGCCACTGTTTTATCAACTAAGTTTATGTAATATTCTAAATCCTTTTGTATCATTTCAACACTGTTCAGAGAATCTTCATCAGGAGTAGATTCCATCTCAAGAAACCTTTTTATTTGCTCATTTATGAGCAACTCATCATCCATTCACATTCTATCATGAGATTGCAACAATCGAGTCACATTTTCAGGCTACACTTCTAATTCCAGTCTTCTTGCTATGCCCACTACATCTGCAGTTACTTACTCCACTGAAGTCTTGAATCCCTCAAAGTCATCCACAAGGGCTAGAGTCCACTTCTTCCAAACTCCTGTTAATAATGCTATTTCATCTAGCATTAGGTGCAGCACACCAGCATGGCACATGTATACGTATGTAACTAACCTGCACAATGTGCACAGGTACCCTAAAACTTAAAGTATAATAATAAAAAATAAATAAATAAATAAATAAATTTAAAAAAATAATGCTATTTCAACCTTTTCCCATGAATCACAAATGTTCATAATGGCATCTGGAATGGTGAGTCTTTTCCAGAAGGTTTTCAGTTAACCTTGCCCAGATCCATCAGAGAAAGAATCACTATCTATGGCAGCTATGGCCTTATAAAATGTACTTCTCAAATAATGTATTTCTTAAATAATAAGACTTGAAAGTCAACATGACTCCTTGATCTCTAGGCTGCAGAATGGAGGGTGAGTTAGCAGGCTTAAAAAATTAATTTCTTTTGTACATTTCCATCAGAGCTCTTGGGTGACCAGGCACATTGTCAATGAGCAGTAATATTTTGAAAGGAATCTTTTTTTCCTGAGCAGTAGGTCTCAGTAGTGGGTGTAAACTATTCAGTAAACCATGCTGTAAACAGATATGCTGTTATCCAGGCTGTATTGTTCCATTTATAGAGTACAGGTGGAGCAGATTTAACATAATTCATAGAGACCCTACGATTTTCAGAGTTTCAGATTTCCAAGAGAAGGATGTCTCATCCATATTGAAAATCGGTTGTTTAGTCACTTTCATTAATTATCTAAGTTGCATCTTCTGTAGAGCACTGGCTGCTTTCCCTTGTACTTTTTATGTTATGGATATAGTTTATTTCCTTAAACTTCATAAACAAACCTCTGCTAGCTTCCAACTTTCCTTCTGTAGCTTCCTCACCTCTCTCAGCCTTTATAGAATTGAAGAGAGTTAGGGTCTTGTCCTGGATTAGGATTTGGCTTAGGGAATATTGTGGCTGGTTTGATCTTCTATCTAGATCACTACAACCTTCTCCATAGCTGCAATAAGGCTGTTTCACTTTCTTATCATTCTTGTGTTCACTAAAGTAGCACTTTTAATTTCCTTCAAGAACTTTACCTTTACATTCACACCTTGGCTAACTGTTTGGCACAAGAAGCCTAGCATTCAGCCTGTCATGGCTTTCAACATGCCTTCCTCATTAAGCTTAATCGTATTGAGCTTCTGCCTTAAAGTGAGAGACATGTAAGTCTTTCACTTGAGCACTCAGAGGCCATTGTAGTGTTATTTATTGGTGTAATTTTAATATTGTTGCATCTCAGGGAATAGAAAAGCCTGAGAACAGGGAGAGAGATGCGAGAATGGCTGGTGGGTGGAGCAGACAGAACACACATTTGTTGATTAAGTTTGCCATCTTATAGTTCATGGAGCTCCAAAATAATTACAATAGCAGCATCAAAGATCATTGATTACAGATCACCATAATAGATATAATAATAATGAAAAAACGTGAAATGTTGCAAGAATTACCAAAATGTGACACAGACACATGAAGTGAGGTACTACAAACCTTCAATTTATAAAAAATTCAATATATGTGAAGCGCAATAAATATGAGGTTTGCCTGTACTCATTTTTAAAAATTAGGGACTAAGTAGATTTGTCAAGGTAGAGGTATAGGTTTTTCTCTGTTATTGGATATATAATTTTTTTAGATAAATCTCCTTTTGACTAGGATTTCTATTTTGTAGGCAGAGCTTGTTGAACAATATGAGACAAGAAAAACCATAATGAAAAGAAAATTCTAAGACAATAAAAACATCTTTTAGGACACACACAAGAAAAGCACTAGATTAAGATAAAATTGTCATTACATAGATGATGCATAAAAGTTTACAAAAGAAAAACAAGAAACTGATATAACTCTAAATAGTAATTCTCATGCCTTTAGATAAAACTGATGATTAAGAATAGCCAGTTCCCAAATAAGGAAATGAAAACAATAAAATAGGCACTTTATTAAGTAATTCCCATTTTCCAGGCCACAGGCTGATCCCTGAAGATACTAAATACGAACATGAAGATTCTATCTCTGTCTTCATAGAGTTCATATCCTAACTGGAAAGACAGTCCTGTTTAGTTCTGTAACTACCTCAATAAAAAAGCTTACCCAGCAATCCCACCTATGGGTATGTATCCAAAATAGAGGAAGTCAGTATATCAAAAATATTATGCACACCTCAATGTTTATTTCAGCAATATTCACAATAGTCAAGATATGGAATCAACCTGTGTCCATTAAAGGATGAATGGATAAAGAAAATGTAGTATATATACACATGGAATACTATTCAGCCATAAAAAGAGTGAAATTCTGTCATTTTCAGCAACACGGATGGAACTGGAAGACATTATATTAAGTGAAACAAGCCAGGCACAAAAAGACAAATATTGTATGTTCTCATGCACATGTAGGAGCAAATGAAAAAGTGGACCTCACGGAGGTAGAGAATTGGTGGTAACCAGAGGCTAGGAAGGGAAGGAGAGAGGGAGGATAAAGAGAGGTTGGTTAATGGGTACAAAAACACAGTTAGATAGAAGGAATAAGTTCTAGTGTTCAATAGCACAGTAGTGTGACAATAGTTAACAGTGGCTTATTGTATATTCCAAATAGTGAGAAGAGATTTGGAATGTTCCCAACACAAAGAAATAATTTAAAAATTGTCATAAATATGTACAACAAATACGTACGATTTTTATGTATCAATAAAATTTTTTAAAAACTTAGACATTGGTATAGTTTCATAAAACTGAAGTTAGTCATGATTTATAAAATCAACATAAGCCATTCAAATCATTATTTATACAATGCTTTTCAATGCTTCATAATTACAATTATGCATACTGTTTTTACGTTAGATGACCTTAAAATCAGTTGTTGAATAAGACAGATACTACTCATTCAACAAGCATTTATAACACACTTACTATGTTCCTAGATTCTGAAGATATAGAATGAATAAAACAAATGGGGTCCTGACCCTACTCTGTGGTTTATCATGGCTGGCAGATATATAAACAAATGTTATCATCAATTTGATAAGTGCTATAGCAGAAAAATACAGTGCCATGCAAGGACAGAGGAGGCCCTAAGAAACCCTGCCTCAACATGTCAGAGAAGATCTAGAGAAAGGAGAAAAACAAGAGGAGAGGCTGGTATTCTTAACAAAATGAAACAAAATAAAAAGATGTAAAGGTATAAAAGAGTAGGGTATCTTCCAAAATTTACATTAAAAATTTACTGTACTTTGATGTAGTTAGATGTAATTAGAGGGCAAGGGGGTATCACTGCTTATTAGCTGCAAATTTAGGCAGGCGCAGACCCTAAACGTCATGAGTGCATCTGAAAGGGTTTGGATTTCAAGCAGAAGTGACTTGACCAGATGTTGCATTAAAAAAAAAAAAAAAAAAAGAAGAAGAAAAAAAACTATTCTGTAATCCTAGCACTTTGGGAGGCCGAGACGGGTGGATTACCTGAGGTCAGGAGCTCAACACCAGCCTGACCAACATGGCGAAACCCCATCTCTACTGAAAATACAAAAATTAGCCAGGCATGGTGGCACACACCTGTAATCCCAGCTACTCGGGAGGTTGAGGCAGGAGAATTGCTTGAACCCAGGAGATGGAGGTTGCAGTGAGCCGAGATCATGCCACTGCACTCCAGCCTGGCTGACAGAGTGAGACTCTGTGTTTAAAAAACAACAATAAAAAATAACTACTCAGGAATCTATATGGAAAGATTATTAGAGTTTGAGGCTAGCTAGATACCAAGAAATCACTTAGAATTAAAAACAGTAAGGTTGAAAATAAAATAAGGTTTAAAATAAAAATGAAAAGAAAATGGGATATGAGGGATAATAAGAAATCAGAAATTACAGTACTTAATAACGAATTGAGTGTGTGAACAAAGGAAAAGACTGATCTAAAACGGCTTCCATGTCTGGGTCTCAGGCAAAATGGTTATTGCATTACTAACCAAATTTGGGGGATAAGAGGAAACATAAGAATTTGGTTGTGTTACTAACCAAATTTGGGGGATAAGAGGAAACATAAGGATTTGAAAATGCTGAGTTATTTTCATAGTTAACAGAATTCAAGTTAAAACAACCATGCAACATGATCTTGCATTAATTAAAATAGGGTAAATTAATAAAATTGACAACATTTATTGCTATAGATATTAGGGAAAAAGATATACTAATACATTGCTGCCCTGAAACCTGATGAAATTGTTCTGAAAAAAATTTGGCAACAAATATAAAAGCCATAAAAATGATCATATACTTTGACCAAGAAACCCTACTTTTTGGAATATAGCCCAAGGATGTAATTCAAAAGAAATAAATAACCGATTTGTATAAAAATGTTTATAGCTGTGCTATGTATTACAAGCAAAATTTGGAAACAGTCCAATGCCCAACAGTGAGGGAATGCTTAGGCAGACTTTGGTGCACTAATGCAATGGTATATTTTATTGCTATTAAGAATGACAATATGAGAACTATGTAGAAATAAGGAAAGGGTCATGTGAAGCAATGAGTAAAAAATGCAGCACTCAAAATGATGCATATACAATGATCACAACTATGTAAAATTATATCTGTATAACCAGGAGGATTAGAAAGGAATACAGAGCTGGTAATTTAGAGTGCTGACATTTTTGTTATTGTTAGTTCAAGTTGCTGGGGATGTTTATGTGTTTCTAGTTATATTTCACTGTATATTTAGTACATACACATTAAGAGAGATAAATCTCTATTTTTTTTTTCTGACACATAAAAGAAAAATTCCTGATCAGTATCTTTCCTTGCCTTGCGTGATTTTTAAAAATGATTGTCAGATTCAGTCAAAACTAAATAGGAAAAGTGGTAGCAATTCTCTAGAATATCTGCTAATAGGCCTATTAAGACCTTTAATCTACCAGTATTTGTAGTGTTTTGCAACTTTTTAACCCAGCTTTGCTGGCCAAGATTTTGTAAAGCTTCACTTTCTACAAGAGGACACTGGTATAGAGTAATTTTTTTTTGTTTTAAAAAATATAAAATGATGCTATAAGATGCATAATATTAATTGTGGTTTTTCAAACAATGTTTCCTTTCCAACCCATCCTAGAGATTGTGATATACCTTCCCCATCCCACCACCCCCTGTTGACTATGGAAGGCCTAGAAAGATGAGAAAGATGGAGAATCTCTGTCTTAGAGTGGGTGAAGCCACTATGGAAAGAGTCCCTCCTTTTTTCTTAAGACCAAAATAAATAAATAAATAAATAAATAACCAAGAGAAATGCAAATACATTAATTCATTAAATGAACAATGTCATAAGAAAAGCTAAATAATCTGACCTACCCATCTAGGAGGGCGATGACATTCTTCCTCGGCCGCCCAATATTAGGGCCATATAAGCTGGCTCTGGAATAAATCCGGATGGGCTGCAACAGGCTCTTCAGCTGGATGTAATCCTTTCCCAACTGGCTGCCATTTACTGCCCGGCCATGCATGGTCCGATAGTTATTTGGCTCTAGATTAAAAGCAGACATGTAAGTCAGAATGAGAAGTGTAAGGTTCTGCCAACACTTTCCTGTCCACAGATCTCTCTGCCTTTTTCTTAATAATATGAAAAAAAAAAACAATAAAAAAGTGGGTGTGAATTATTTTAACTTAAAGAACCACCCAAACAAAAAAAGGTCAAGTTAGCTTGCTGTTCCATTCATTTTCAAACTAATTTTCACAAAAAGATAACCTAATCAACACCGGAGACCATACAGATTTTCAGGTGCTACTTCATAACGAATTGTATACTGGATTGAACAGTGTCCCCCAAAATTTATGTCTACCAGAATCTCAGAATGTGAGCTCATTTGGAAACAGGATCTCTGAAGATATAATTAGTTATGATAAGGTCATACTAGATTACAGTGGGTCCTAAATCCAATGACTTCTGTCTTTATAAGAGAAAGGAGAAGGAAGTTCAGATACCCAGACACAGAGAGAAGAATGCCACGTGACAACAAAGATTGGAGAGATGTTGCTAGGCTAAGCATTGCTGGCAGCCACCGGAAGCTAGGAAAGAGGCATGGAATAGATTCTCTCTCAAAACTCCCAGAAGAAACCAATACTGTTGATGCTCTGGTTTCAGATTTCTGGCCTCCTAAAATATCAGAGAAGCAATTTTTGTTGTTTTAAGCCACGAAATTTGTGATAATTTGTTATGGCAAGCGTAGAAAACTAATACACATGGTAAGAAGTGAAATCTTCATAAAGATGTTCACTGCCAAAAAGTCAGAAAAAATATTAATATTCATTAATAACAAAGTAGCTAATTGAAGTAATTTTGAGCAAAGCCTCCTCTTTCAGCTTCCATTACCTTGGTAGTTCTAAAAGGGGAGAAAAATTCCCTGAAACGAGCAGCTCCACAGCTGGAGGAGGCTAATTTGATTTGGAATGGTGTGCATACCCCAGGAAAGGCCAACATCTCAGCTGGCTTGAGACTATGATACTGGCAGGTACAAGAAATAAACCTGTAGACTTGCAAGAAATATAATAGGAGATTTTGGGCTGAGACGATGGGGTTTTCTAGATAGACATCATGTCATCTGCAAACAGGGACAATTTGACTTCCTCTTTTCCTAATTGAATGCCCTTTATTTCCTTCTCCTGCCTGATTGCCCTGGCCAGAACTTCTAACACTATGTTGAATAGGAGTGGTGAGAGAGGGCATCTCTGTCTTGTGCCAGTTTTCAAAGGGAATGCTTCTAGTCTTTGCCCATTCAGTATGATATTGGCTGTGGGTTTGTCATAGATAGCTCTTATTATTTTGAGATATGTCCCATCAATACCTAATTTATTGAGAGTTTTTAGCATGAAGGTGGTTGAATTTTGTCAAAGGCCTTTTCTGCATCTATTGAGATAATCATGTGGTTTTTGTCTTTGGTTCTGTTTATATGCTGGATTACATTTACTGATTTTTGTATGTTGAACCAGCGTTGCATCCCAGGGATGAAGCCCACTTGATCATGGTGGATAAGCTTTTTGATGTGTTGCTGAATTCGGTTTGCCAGTATCTTATTGAGGATTTTTGCATCAATGTTCATCAGGGATATTGGTCTAAAATTCTCTTTTTTTGTCGTGTCTCTGCCAGGCTTTGGTATCAGGATGATGCTGGCCTCATAAAATGAGTTAGGGAGGATTCCCTCTTTTTCTATTGATTGGAATAATTTCAGAAGGAATGGTACCAGCTCCTCCTTGTACTGCTGGTAGAATTTGGCTGTGAATCCATCTGGTCCTGGACATTTTCTGATTGCTAAGCTCTTAAGTATTGCCTCAATTTCAGAGCCTGTTATTGGTCTGTTCAGAGATTCAACTTCTTCCTGGTTTAGTCTTGGCAGAGTGTATGTGTCAAGGAATTTACCCATTACTTCTAGATTTTCTAGTTTATTTGCGTAGAGGTGTTTATAGTATTCTCTGATGATAGTTTGTATGTCTGTGGGATCGGTGGTGATATCCCCTTTGTCATTTTTTATTGCGTCTATTTGATTCTTCTCTCTTTTCTTCTTTATTAGTCTTGCTAGCGGTCTATCAATTTTGTTGATCTTTTCAAAAAACCAGCTCCTGGATTCACTGATTTTTTGAAGGGTTTTTTGTGTCTCTATTTCCTTCAGTTCTGCTTTGATCTTAGTTATTTCTTGCCTTTTGCTAGCTTTTGAATGTGTTTGCTCTTGCTTCTCTAGTTCTTTTAATTGGGATGTTAGGGTGTCAATTTTAGATCTTTCCTGCTTTCTCTTGTGGGCATTTAGTGCTATAAATTTCCCTCTACACACTGCTTTGAATGTGTCCCAGAGATTCTGGTATGTTGTGTCTTTGTTCTCGTTGGGTTCAAAGAACATCTTTATTTCTGCCTTCATTTCGTTATGTACCCAGTAGTCATTCAGGAGCAGGTTGTTCAGTTTCCATGTAGTTGAGCGGTTTTGAGTGAGTTTCTTAATCCTGAGTTCTAGTTTGATTGCACTGTGGTCTGAGAGACAGTTTGTTATAATTTCTGTTCTTTGACATTTGCTGAGGAGTGTTTTACTTCCAAATATGTGGTCAATTTTGGAATAGGTGTGGTGTGGTGCTGAAAAGAATGTATATTCTGTTGATTTGGGGTGCAGAGTTCTGTAGATGTCTATTAGGTCCACTTGGTGCAGAGCTGAGTTCAATTCCTGGATATCCTTGTTAACTTTCTGTCTTCGTTGATCTGTCTAATGTTGACAGTGGGTTGTTAAAGTCTCCCATTATTATTGTGTGGGAGTCTAAGTCTCTTTGTAGGTCACTAAGGACTTGCTTTATGAATCTGGGTGCTCCTGTACTGGGTGCATATATATTTAGGATAGTTAGCTCTTCTTTTTGAATTGATCCCTTTACCATTGTGTAATGGCCTTCTTTGTCTCTTTTGATCTTTGTTGATTTAAAGTCTGTTTTATCTGAGACTAGGATTGCAAACCCTCAGGACACAAAATCAATGTGCAAAAATCACAAGCATTCTTATACACCAATAACAGACAAACAGAGAGCCAAATCATGAGTGAACTCCCATTCACAATTGCTTCAAAGAGAATAAAATACCTAGGAATCCAACTTACAAGGGATGTGAAGGACCTCTTCAAGGAGAACTACAAACCACTGCTCAATGAAATAAAAGACGATACAAACAAATGGAAGAACATTCCATGCTCATGGGTAGGAAGAATGAATATCGTGAAAATGGCCATATTGCCCAAGGTCATTTATAGATTCAATACCATCCCCATCAAGCTACCAATGACTTTCTTCACAGAATTGGAAAAAATTGCTTTAAAGTTCATATGGAACCAAAAAAGAGCCCACATTGCCAAGTCAATCCTAAGCCAAAAGAACAAAGCTGGAGGCATCATGCTACCTGACTTCAAACTATACTACTAGGCTACAGTAACCAAAACAGCATGGTACTGGTACCAAAACAGAGATATAGACCAATGGAACAGAACAGAGCCCTCAGAAATAATGCTGCATATCTTCAACCATCTGATCTTTGACAAACCTGACAAAAACAAGGAATGGGGAAAGGATTCCCTATTTAATAAATGGTGCTGGGAAAACTGGCTAGCCTTATGTAGAAAGCTGAAACTGAATCCCTTCCTTACACCTTATACAAAAATTAATTCAAGATGGATTAAAGACTTAAATGTTAGACCTAAAACCATAAAAACCCTAGAAGAAAACCTAGGCAATACCATTCAGGACATAGGCATGGTCAAGGACTTCATGTCTAAAACACCAAAAGCAATGGCAACAAAAGCCAAAATTGACAAATGGGATCTAATTAAACTAAAGAGCTTCTGCACAGCAACAGAAACCACCATCAGAGTGAACAGGCAACCTACAAAATGGGAGAAAATTTTTGCAACCTACTCATCTGACAAAGGGCTAATATCCAGAATCTACAATGAACTCAAACAAATTTGCAAGAAAAAAACAACCCCATCAAAAAGTGGGCAAAGGATATGAACAGATACTTCTCAAAAGAAGACATTTATGCAGCCAAAAAACACATGAAAAAATGCTCACCATCACTGGCCATCAGAGAAATGCAAATCAAAATCACAATGAGATACCATCTCTCACCAGTTAGAATGGCAATCATTAAAAATCAGGAAACAACAGGTGCTGGAGAGGATGTGGAGAAATAGGAACACTTTTACACCATTGGTGGGACTGTAAACTAGTTCAACCATTGTGGAAGTTGGTGTGGCAATTCCTCAGGGATCTAGAACTAGAAACACCATTTGACCCAGCCATCCCATTACTGGGTATATACCCAAAGCATTATAAATCATGCTGCTATAAAGACACATGCACACGTATGTTTATTGTGGCACTATTCACAATAGCAAAGACTTGGAACCCACCCAAATGTCCAACAATGATAGAGTGGATTAAGAAAATGTGGCACATATACACCATGGAATACTATGCAGCCATAAAAAATGATGAGTTCATGTCCTTTGTAGGGACATGGATGAAGCTGGAAACCATCATTCTCAGTAAACTATGACAAGGACAAAAAACCAAATGCCGCATGTTCTCACTCACAGGTGGGAACTGAACAATGAGAACACATGGACACAGGAAGGGGAACATCACACACCAGGGACTGTTGTGGGGCAGGGGGAGGGGGGAGGGATAGCATTAGGAGATATACCTAATGCTAAATGACGAGTTAATGGGTGCAGCACACCAACATGGCATATGTATACATATGTAAAAAACCTGCACGTTGTGCACATGTATTCTAAAACTTAAAGTATAATAATAATAATAATAATAATAATAATAATAATAAAAGAAATATAATAGGAAAATTTGGGGAATAAGGCAGCCACAGTGAACCTTGACAATCTCACACATACTCCCTGTAATCTAGAAGGCTAAATATGCTTAGGAGGGACTACAGGATAGAAGTGTGGATAGTAGGAGGATTCCTAGCTATCCACACATTTCCAGATAAGTGTGAAACCTAGGACACTTATAAAGGAAACATCAGAAGCCATGACTGAGAGTAAAATCCCAGTTAGACTTGTAAAAGACCTAAATTTTTAATGTGTTTCCCAACCAACACAGAGATGCACTGGCAAAAGGTGGAAGGCTTACTGGCTCACGGGAATTAAGCAAAACCTCTGATCAATCTTCAGCTCACCATTAAGCTATGTTGACTCAAGTGCAACCCCCAGGAGACTTGTCTTAACAATTAAAAAATGATTAAGAAATAAAAAAACTTAAGAGATATCAGTAGCTACACGACTCAAGGGAGACAGACTCTATAGAGTTAGTCCAAGACCTATGGTATGGAAGTACAGAATTCAGAGTTGGTCCAGTATATTATCTAAAATATGTAGTTTTCAACAAAAAAGCTATTATACATGAAAAAAATAGAAAAGTTTGACTCATACCAGCAAAAAACATAGAAACTGCCTCTATATTAGGGGCCCTAAATATTAGACTTGGCAGTCAAAGACTTATAAATATGTTCAAGAACTAAAGACAGTCTGGGCACAGTGGCTCATGCCTGTAATCCCAGCACTTTGGGAGGCCAAGGCAGATGGATCACTTGAGGTCAGGATTTTAAGACCAGCCTGGCCAACACAGTGAAACCCTGTCTCTACTAAAAATATGAAAATTAGCTGGGCATGGTGGTATGCGCCCATAGTCCCAGATACTTGGCTTGGGAAGCTGAGGCAGGAGAATTGCTTGAATCCAGGAGGCGGAGGTTGCAGTGAGCCAAGATTGCACCATTGCACTCCAGCCTAGGTGACAGAGTGAGACACTGTCTCAAAAAAACAAAAAACAACAACAACAAAAAAAAACAAACTAAAAATAATAAAGAGCTAAAGGAAAGTATAATGTTAATGATTCATCAAATAGAAATATACATAAAGAAAAAGAAATTATAAAAAACAGTCAAATAAAATTATTGAACTTAAATGACTAATCTCATACAGGAGAACACAATGAGATTAACAGCTCAGTTTTTATCAGAAAAAAATGGAGGCCAGAAGATGGTAGGATGATATATTCAAAATGCTGAAAGAAAACAAAACAAAACTGATAACCAAGAATTCCATATGCAGCAAACTATCCTTGAAAACTGCATGCAAAGTTAAACATTCTGAGAAAAACAGAGAGAAGAGATTTTGTTGTGAGCAAATATGCCTTATAAGAAATAAAAAAGGAAGTCATTCAGATTGGAATAAAATGATACCAGATGGTAACTCAAAATCACACAAAGAAATAAAAGACATAAATAAAGGTAATTACATGAATAACTGTAAAAAATATTCATTACTCTTTTCTTCTCTTAACTGATTTAAAAGACAGTGCATAAAACAAAAATACACAACTCTATTGTTGGGCTTATAAAATATAAAGATATAATATTTAGAATAATAATAGCACAAAGGACTGGGGAATGAAACTGTACTGAAGCAAGTTTCTGTATTAAACTAGAATTAAGGCCTAGGCATGGTGGCTCACAGCTGTAATCCTAGCACTTTGGGAGGCCGAGGTGGGTGGATCACCTGAGGTCAGGAGTTTGAGACCAGCCTGGCCAACATGGTGAAACCCTGTCTCTACTAAAAATACAAAAATTACCCCTGTGTGGTGCTGGGTACCTGTAATCCCAGCTACTCAGGATGTTGAGGCAGGAGAATCGCTTGAACCTGGGAGGCAGAGGTTGCAGTAAGCCAAGATCACACCATTGCACTCCAGCCTGAGTGACATAGTGAGACTCTGTCTCAAAACAAACAAACGAACAAACCTAGAATTAAGTTAGTATTACTTGAAAATAGATTGTGATGAGTTAAGATGTATTGTGATAAGAAACTACTAAGAAAATAACAAAACAGGGTGGGTGTGGTGGCTCATGCCTGTAATCCCAGCACTTTGCTAGGCTGAGGTGGGAGGATTGCTTGAGCCTAGGTGTTCAAGACCATCCTAGGCAACACAGTGAAACCCCATGTCTACGAAAAATTTTAAAAATTAGCTGGGTGTAGTGGCATGCACCTGCAGTCCCAGCTACTCAGGAGGCTAAGGTGGGAGAATCGCTTGAGTCCAAGAGGTTGAGGCTACAGTTGGCTGTAGTTGTACCACTGCACTCTAGCCTGGGCAACAGAGCAGGGCCTTGTATGAAACAAAAGAAAAGAAAAGAAAAGAAAAGAACAAAACAATGAAAACAGTACCTTAGACAATATTTCTTTTACATAAAAAGGCATGAAAAGTGAGACAGAGGAACAAAAATGCCACGAGATAAATGGAAAACAGCAAGATGGCACATGTAAAGTCAATTATATCAACAATCTCAAATAATGGAAATGGATTAAATACTCCAATTAAAAGCAGAAATTATCAGACTGAATAAAAAATAGATCCTAATATGAGACATATTTCAGATTCAAAAATACAAACAGATTGAAGGTAAAATTTTTTTTTAAAAGGTAGACTATGTAGGCTGCAGCATGGTGGCTCACACCTGTAATCTCAGCACTTTGGGAGGCCAAGATGGGTAGGTCACGCGGTCAGGAGATCAAAACCATCCTGGCTAACACAGTGAAACCCCATTTCTGCTAAAAACACAAAAAATTAGCCGGGCGTGGTGGCGGGCGCCTGTAATCCCAGCTACTTGGGAGGCTGAGGCAGGAGAATGGCGTGAACCTGATAGGTGGAGTTTGCGGTGAGCCGAGATCACGCCATTGCACTCCAGCCTGGGTGACAGAGCGAGACTCTGTCTCAAAAAATAAATAAATAAATAAATTAATTTAAAAAGGTAGACTATATAAACAGTAACCATAAGAGAGCAGAAATAACTATACTAATATCAGAAAAAATAGATTTTAAGATAAAAACATTACTAGAGATAATATGAGGCATTTTATAATGATAAAAGGCATTTTATAATGAGAAGAAAGGTCTCAACATCAGGAAGATATAACAATTAGAAACATATATATACCTAACACCACCATCAAAATACCTTAAACAAAATTGAAGAGAGAAATAGAAAATTCAAGAACAATTGAAGGAGACTTCAACACTACATTCTTAATAATAGATGAAACGACTGGATAAAAAAATCAGCAAGAATATAGAAGACTTGACTGGCACTATCAGCTAACTTTACCTAATTGCCATCTACAGAATATTCCACCCAACAACAGCAGGATACATATTCTTTTCTAGTACATAGAGAAAACATCCTTCAGGACAGATCATATTGTAAGACATAAAACAAATCTCATAAATTTAAAAGGATTAAAATCATACAATGGATGTGCTTTAATCACAATAGAATTAAACTGGAATTCAACAAAAATTGAGAAATCCCCAAATATTTGAAAATTTAACAAATAATCCATTGATCAAAGAAGAAATCACAAGGAAATAAACAAAATTAAAGTGGAATAAAAATGAAAATAAAATACATAAAAAGATATGGGATGCAGCTTAAGCAATGCTTTAGGGGGAAATTTATAGCCTTAGGTGCCTATATTAGAAATGAACAAAGATCTCAAATCAATAACCTAAGTTTCCTCCTTAAGAAAGGAAAAAAGAACGGAAAACTACACCCGAGCAAAACAAAGGAATGAAATAATAAAAATTAGAGTAGATATCAATGATATTTTTAAAATAGAGAAAATACAGGGAAAGCGAAAGTTGGTTATTTGAAAAGACCACAAAACCGATATACCTTTAGTTAGACTGACCACCGAAAAAAGAGAGAGAGAAGTCACAGATTACCAAAAGGGAACACCACTAAACAATCTCACAGTAATTAAGTTGATAAGGAACTACTATGAAAATCTTTGTGCCAATAATTTAGAAAACTTAAATAAAATGGTAAATTTTTTTAAAAAATGCAGAAATTATTAAAACTGACTAAATAAGACACAGAAAATCTATATAGACACATAACAACAACGAAAACCCATTGAGGTAGTAATTAAAAATCTTTCCACAAAGAAAGCCCAGATCCGTATGGATTAGTTGGTGAATTCTATTAAATATTTAAATAAGAAACACCAATGCTTTACAAACTCAGAAAATGGAGGAAGAGGGAACACTTTTCAACTTATGTTATGAGGCCAATATTGCCCTGACACCAAAGCCAGTCAAAGACATCACTAGAGGCTGGGTGCAGTGGCTCACGCCTATAATCCCAACACTTTGGGAGGCTGAGGCAGGTGGATCATTTGAGGTCAGAAGTTCAAGACCCACCTGGCCAACATGGTGAAACCCCGTCTCTACTAAAAATACAAAAATTAGCCAGGCATTAGAGGTGCACACCTGTAATCCCAGCTACTCAGGAGGCTGAGGCAGGAGAATCGCTTGAGTCTGGGAGGTGGAGTGAGCCGAGATTGTGCCACTGCACTCCAGTCTGGGCGACAGAGTGAGACCCTTTCTCAAAAACAACAACAACAACAACAAAACAAAGACATCACAAGAAAACTACAGACAAATATTCCTCATAACATAGATGTAAAATCCCCAACAAAATATTTACAAAGTAAGTCCAGCAACATATGAAAAGTATTATACACTATGACCAAGTGGGATTTATGCCAAGAACGCAAGGTTGATTTAATATTAAAGCCTTTTAACTAATGTAAAATACCATTGTAATAGAACAAAAGACCAAAACTAAATTATCATCTCAATAGCTGCAACAACACCACCAAAACTCATCTGACAAAATGCAACACCCATTCCTGATAAATATTCCCAACAAACTGAATAGAAGGGAACTTTCTCAACTTGATAAAGCGTATCTAAGAAAAACCTAGACCTAACATCATACTTAATGGTGAAATATGGACTGTGTGCCCCTAAGACTAAGGAGAAGACAAGGATGTCTGCTCTTGCCACTTAAGAGTCAACATTTGTACTAGAGATTCTAGCCAGTGCAGTCAGGCAAGGGAGAGAAATAAAAAGCATCCAAATTGGAAAGAAAGAAGCAAAACTGTTATTATTCTCAGACAATATGATCCTACATACAGAAAATCCTAAGGAATCCACACACAGGAGGGGAAAAAATACAAAATCTAAAGAATAAATTCAGCAAGGTTGGAGGGGATACAATATCAATTTATAAAATCAATTATATTTCTAAGTACTATTGATACACAATCCAAAAGTGAAATTATAAAAATACTTCCATTCCCAATTGCATCAAAAAGAATAGTATACTTAAGAACAAGTATTTAACAAAAGAAGTACAAAACTTATACACTGAAAACTACAAAACATTGCTGAGATAAATTAAAAATTAAATAAATGGGAGATAATCTAAGCTCGTGATAGGAAGATTTTGTATTGTTAAGATGGTAATTCTCCCTAAATTGATTTATAGATTCAATGCTATCCCATTAAAATTCCAGGAGGCTTTGATGAAGAAATTAACAAGCTAATCCCAAATTTTACATGGAAATTCAAACACCCAGGATAGCCAAATTAATTTTGAAAAACAAAGGAACAAAGTTGGAGGATTTACATTTCCAAATTCTAGCACTCTTTGTAAAGCTATTGTAATTAAGACAATGTAGTCCTAGCATAAGGAAAGACATACAGATCAGCGGAACAGAATTAAGAGTATAGAAACAAAACTATGTATGGTCAATTGATTTTTTTTTTACAAAGGTGCCAAGATAAGTAAATGGGGAAAAAATGGTCTTTTTAATAAATGGTACTGGGAATCTCTATATCCACATGCAAAAAGACTAATTTATAGCCTTACTTCACAACGTTCACAAAAATTAACTCCTAATAGATTTAGGGCCAAATGTAAGAGCTAAAACAATGAAACTTTTAGAAGAAAATATAGGAAAAAACTCCTTGTTATCTTGGATTAAGCAAAGATTATAGCACCAAAAGCATAATCCATAAAGTAAAACCTCATAAATTGAACTTTATCAAAATTCAAAGCTTTTAGACTAAAAGATGCCATCAAGTTACAAAAGACGAAGTAAAAAAATTATTTGCAAATCATATACTTGAATTTTTAAAAAAATACGTGTATCCAGAATATATAAAGAACTCTTACAATTCAATAATAAAATAACCCACTTAAAAGAGCAAAAGCTTTGGGCTGATATTTCACAAATTAAGAAGTAGAAATGGCTAGTAAGTACATGAAAAGGTGCCCAACAACATTAGTCACTAGGGAAGAGCAACTGTTTTCAGGTCCTTCTATTTAATATCTATCTCTTCTATAAGGATGTAGGCAGTTATATTCATCTGTTATTTACTATTGTGTGTGTATGTGTGTGACACAGGGTCTTGCTCTGTTACCCAGGCTGGAGTGCAGTGGTGCGACCTTGGCTCACTGCAACCTTGAGTTCCTGGGCTCAAGTGATCCTCCCACCTCAGCCACCTGAGTAGCTGAGCCACGGGTGCACGCCAGCATATTCTGCTTATTTTTTGTATTTTTTTGTAGAGATGGGGTTTCATTATGTTTCCAAGGCTGGTCTTAAACTCCTGAGCTCAAACAATCTGCCCACCTTGGCCTCTCAAAGTGCTGGGATTACAGGCATTAGCCACCATGACTGGCCTGTTATTTACCATTGTATCTCTCTAACCTAGTGAAGAAAGCCAAGAAATCTAAACATAATTTAAAAAGTAATAACCATAGGGCAGTAGAAAACGTACTTCACTTTCTATTAGATTTCCCAAGTTCCTGACATAGATTTGGTACTTACTGCTGCCTTTAGCAAATCACGTCACCTCTTTGAATGTGTTTCTTCACTTGTTTAATACTTTATCAGGCACTTTATTTAGTATTTTGAGGTCCAAATAGAAGAGTCTATTTGGAAGTGCTACATAAACTAAATACTATGCAAATATAGGATGACAATATTGCTGATAATTACAAATATAAGCCTCTAAGAGAGTAACACTAAGTCTTTGTAATCAACCGGTGGCAAGAAATAGGCATTTTATACCCTTTAAAATGAAAGATAAACATGTTATTCTTTTTAAATAGCTTCATTGAGATATAAAACACATACAATTCACCAATTTCATGTGTATAATTCAATGGTTTTTAGTATTTTCACACAGTTGTGCAACCATCACAACACATTTTAGAACATTTTAATAATCCCAGAAAAAACTCTGTGCCTTTTAGCAGTCACCCCTCACCCCTCATGGGCTCCCCAGCCCTAAGCAAACACTAATCTACTTTCCGTCTCTGTAGATTTGTCTATTCTGGACATTTCATATAAGGGGAATTATACAATGTGTTGTCTTTTGTGACTGGATTCTTTCATTCAGCATAATCTTCTCAAGGTTCATCCATTTGTAGAATGTATCAGTACTTCATTTTGCAGCACATAGTATTTCTTTGTATGTATTTGTCACGTTTCATTTATCAAGTCATCAATTGATGGTCATTTAGGTTGTTTCCACTTTTTTTGCTATTAAAAGTAATTCTGTTATTAACATTCATGTAGAAGTTTTTGTATGGATGTATGTTTTCATTTCTCTTGGATATATATCTAGAAGTGGAATTGTTGGGTTACTTGGTAATTTTATGTTTAACTTTTTGAGGAACTACTGGACTATTTTCCAAAGTGGCTGTACCATTTGACATTCCCACCAGCAGTGTGTGAAGGTTTCAGTTTCTCCACAACCTTGTCAACATTTGTTACTTTACTTTTCCTTTTTAAAATTTGGCCATCCTAGTAAGTGTGAAGTGGTATTTAATTGTGGTTTTGATTTGCTTTTCCATGATGGCTAATGATGTTGAGCATCTTTTCATGTACTTGCTTGTCATTTGTATATCCTCTTTGGAGACACAAAATATTTTGTCCAAAATATTCTTTTAACTGCTTCTTGTGTTGTCCTTAATATCAGTGAAACAAGACAGCAAATGATATTCATATTTCCAAGAAGTAGGTCTTCATCATGACTCACACTTTTTTTTTAATTGATAAACTTTATTTTTATTTTTAGAGCAATTTTAGGTTTACAGAAAATTGAGTAGACAGTACAAAGAGTACCCATATAATTTGTCCCTTACACACACACACACACACACACAAACACACACAAACACACACAATTTCCCATTATTATCTTGCCTTGGTCTGATACAGTTGTTACAAATGATAAACTAATATTGACACATCATTATTAACTGAAATCCATAGTCTACATTTGGGTTTACTCTTCGTGTTATACAGTTGTGTGAGTTTTGAAAGGTGCAAAATGTCATGTATCCACCATTACAGTACCATACCTCTTTTTCTTTATAAATTACCCAGTCTTGGATATATCTCTATCAGCAGCAAGAAAAGGGACTAATGCAGTAAATTGGTACCGGGTAGTGGGCCACTGCCATAAAGATACCCGAAATGCGAAAGCAAGTTTGAAACCTGTTGCTCCAGAAGGTGCAAGCCCCAAGCCTTGGCAGCTTCCACATGGTATTGAGCCTGCAGGTGCATAGAAGTCAAGAATTGAGGTTTGGGAGCCTCTGCCTAGATTTCAGAGGATGTATAGAAATGCCTGTATATCCAGGCAAAAGTTTGCTACAGGGGTGAAGCCCTCACAAAGAACCTCTGTTAGGGCAGTGTGGAAGGGAGAAGTGGGGTTGAAGCCCCCATAAAGAGTCCCCACTGGGGCACTGCCTAGTAGAGCCATGAGAAGAGGGCCACCACCCTTTAGACCTCAGAAAAGCTCCAGAGACTCAATGCCAGCCCATGAAGGCAGCCAGGAATGGGGCTGTACTCTGTAAAGCCACAGGGGCAGAACTGCCCAAGACCACGGGAACCCATCTTTTGCATTGGCGTGACCTGGATGTGAGATATGGAGTCAAAGGAGATCATTTGGGAGCTTTACGATTTGACTGCCCTGCTTGATTTCAGACTTGCATGTGGCCATTAGCCCCTTTATTTTGGCTAATTTCTCCCATTTGGAACAGCTGTATTTATCCAATGCCTGTTCTACCATTTATCTAGGAAGTAACTAACTTGCTTTTGATTTTACAGGCTCATAGGCAGAAGGGAATTGCCTTGTCTCAGATGAGACCTTGGACTGTGTACTTTTGAGTTAATGCTGAAATGGGTTAAGACTTTGGGGTACTGTTGGGAAGGCATGATTGGTTTTTAAAAATGAGGACATGAGGTTTGGGAGGAGCCAGGGGTAGAATGATATGGTTTGGTTTGGCTGTGTCCCCACTCAAATCTCATCTTAATTGTAGCTTCCATAATTCCCATGTGTTGTGGGAGGGACCCAGTGGGAGATAATTGAATCATGGGGTCAGTTTCCCCCATACTGTTCTCATGGTAGTGAATAAGTCTCGCAAGAGCTGAGGATTTTATAAGGGGTTTCCCCTTTTGCTTGGTTTTTTTTTTTATTCAGTTCTGGCTGCTGCCATTTAAGACATGCCTTTCACCTTCTGCCATGATTGTGAGGCCACCCCAGTCACATGGAACTGTGAGTGCTTTAAACTCTTTTTCTTTATAAATTACCTAGTCTCGAGTATGTCTTTATCAGCAGCATGAAAATGGACTTTATACAGCAGCTGTCCCACAAATGTTTTCTGTAACTATCTAACTGTGACAGTAACCAGAATTTTAGTGAGAGAACATGATTCTCCACCATGATAATGAACTCCAAGAACCAATGTAATTCAAACTTCACTCACTTCCCTTAATAATCAAAGGATAATTAACTTAAGTGCTTAAAAATGTAAGCTATGAATTTATGAATACATTTGTGCATTAATTTATACTTTTATTATATATTATTTGTTGGTTTAACAATTTTCCTGATTCAGTTCTTCACTTCTTTCAAACTATAAGAGATTCCTCCAGTTCTAGCATATAAGAGTTTAATAGTTTAATAGTTTTAAGTTTATCCTAACTTTACCTTTAGATACTAAACTCCTGGAGACTAGAATTTCTTTGTTCTGTATATTCACTCTGTGTCATAGTATGTTATGCCAAGCTATAAAGTAGTGGCCAGAGAAGGAATTCAAGGATTCCTCCAACTCCCATTTCACACTTGGCATATTTTGCAGGTGCTCCACACATACATAGTTAATGCAAGAATGACTAAATACCATGAGAGTATGTTTCTGGATAAGAGTCTGTGGGGAAAGAATTGAGAAGATGAAGGTTGAAGGAGAGAAGCAGACAGGAAGAGAAAACTGAGAAAAGAAGCAGGTAAAAAGACTATATGGTTTCTTGTTTTTTTCTTCCTCCTCCTCTTTTCCCCTCCTCTCCTTCCCTATCAAAACTCTATGTTCTGAAAATACAGTTTTCTAAAGCTCTTAGCTGTGACCTACCCTCATAAATAATTGACAATATGTGTGAAGACTGTGACTGAATCTTATGTTTGGCTTTCACCTGTTATATACACATAAAAATACAGGACCAAAATATATAAATGCACATTTATATATTAAACATAAAGGAACATAAATGCAATTCCCTGGCAAGATGGCCAAATAGGAACAGCTCCAGTCTGCAGCTCCCAGCAAGACCAACACAGAAGGAAGGTGATTTCTGCATTTCCAACTGAGGTACCCACTTCATCTCATTGGGACTGGTTAGACAGTGGGTGCAGCCCAGTGTTGTATCTGGGCCAGCAAGCACTATCCATCACAGCATAGTCCCTCATGGCTTCTCTTGGCTAGGGGAGGGAGTTCTCTGACCCCTTGCACTTCCTGGGTGAGGTGATGCCCCACCCTGCTTCTGCTCACCCCATCATCTCAGCCCCAAAACTCCTTAAGCTGATAGCAACTTCAGCAAAGTCTCAGGATACAAAATCAGAGTGCAAAAATCACAAGCATTCCTATACATCAATAATACACAAACACAGAGCCAAATCATGAGTAAACTCCCATTCACAATTGCTACAAAGAGAAAAAACCACCTAGGAATCCAACTTACAAGGGATGTGAAGGACTTCTTCCAGGAGAACTACAAACCATTGCTCAAGGAAATAAGAGAGGACACAAACAAGTGGAAAAACCTTCCATACTCATGAATAGGAAGAATCAATATTGTGAAAATGACCATACTGCCCAAAGTAATTTATACATTCAATGCTATGCTCATCAAGCTACCATTGACTTTCTTCACAGAAGTAGAAAAAACTACTTTAAATTTCATATTTCATATGGAAACAAAAAAGAGCCCATATAGTCAAGACAATCTAAGCAAAAAGAACAAAGCTGGAGGCATCACACTACCTGACTTCAAACTATACTACAAGGCTACAGTAACCAAAACAGCACGGTACTGGTACCAAAACAGATATATAGACCAATGGAACAGAACAGAGGCCTCAGAAATAACACCACACATTTACAACCATCTGTTCTTTGATAAACCTGACAAAAACAAGCAATGGGGAAAGGATTCCCTATTTAATAAATGGTGTTGGGATAATTGGCTAGCCATATTCATAAAACTGGACCCCTTACTTATACCTTAAACAAAAATTAACTCAAGATGGATTAAAGAGTTAAACGTAAGACCTAAAGCCATAAAAACCCTAGAAGAAAACCTAGGCAATACCATTCAGGACAAAGGCATGGGCAAAGACTTCATGTCTAAAACACCAAAATCAATTGCAACAAAAGCCAAAATTGACAAATGGGATCTAATTAAACTAAAGAGCTTCTGCACAGCAAAAGAAACTATCATCAGAGTGAACAGGCAACCTACAGAATGAGAGAAAATTTTTGCAATCTATCCATCTGACAAAGGGCGAATATCCAGAATCTACAAAGAACTTAAACAAATTTACAAGAAAAAAAACCCCCATCAAGAAGTGGGTGAAGGATATGAACAGACACTTTTCAAAAGAAGACATTTATGCAGCCAACAAAGATATGAAAAAACGCTCATCATCAGTGGTCATTAGAGAAATGCAAATCAAAACCACAACAAGATACTATTTCATGCCAGTTAGAATTATGATCATTAAAAAGTCAGAGAACAACTGATGCTAGAGAAGATGTGGAGAAATAGGAATGCTTTTACACTGTTGGTGGGAGTGTAAATTAGTTCAACCATTGTGGAAGACAGTGTGGCGATTCCTCAAGGATCTAGAATTAGAAATACCATTTGACCCAGCCATCCCATTACTGGATATGTACCCAAAGGATTATAAACCATTCTTCCATAAAGACACATGCACACGTATGTTTATTGCAGCACTATTCACAATAGCAAAAACTTGGAACGAACCCAAATGCCCGTCAGTGATAGACTAGAAAAAGAGAATGTGGCACATATACACCATGGAATACTATGCAGCCATAAAAAAGAATGAGTTCATGTCCTTTGCAGGGACATGGATGAAGCTGGAAACCATCATTCTCAGCAAACTAACACAGGAACAGAAAATCAAACACTGCATGTTCTCACTTATAAGTGGGAGGTGAATAATGAGAACATATGGGCACAGGGAGGGAAACATCACACACTGTGGTCTGTCGTGGGGAGTGGGGTAGGGGAGCGATATCATTAGGACAAATACCTAGTGTAGATGACAGGTTGATGGGTACAGCAAACCACCATGGCACATGTATACCTATATAACAAGCCTGCCCATTCTGCACATGTAAAAAAAAAAAGAAGAAGAAAAAAAGAAAAAAAAGTACATAAATACATCATACATTTATCCACCTAAACTCAGGCTAAAAGCTTAATAAATATTGAGGGAATGCATTAATCAAGCTGTGCTGCCAGAATCATAAGAATCATCATCTCTGACTTTCTAAGGTCAGAAACTTGATTTTACAAAATTACTTAGTAGACAGGCTCCAGAGAACTGAGTCATATAACTAATTCTTATAAAAGAATAACATGTGAATGTATATAGGTCAGGTTATGGGTATGAATATATAATATTGATTCAATAATTAATTATAGTAGCTTTTACTTGCTTATAGAAATGGGCAGATATATTTGGGAAGCACATTTATAGTTCATAATGTAGTTCAGTGTTCATTCAATTAGAGGTATTACATTATCTTAAGGTAATTTTTGTGATTAAGTATAGCTCTCTAGAGAACAAACACCATTTCCCTGAAATGGAGTTGGACTAGAATTTATATACACTTCCAGAGTTTGAGTCCCAGCTTCAAAAATTTCTCCAGTTCTTTCTTACTTTAGATTCACCAATGGTTAATATAAATGTAAAAATCTGTAATCATTACATTAATCAGTTACAGAGTTTACAATTTATGGACATTTAGGGAAATATGTTATATCCAAAGAAAGTAATTGTAAAAAAGTATGGTGTCAAGAAAGTCATTTTTTTTTGTTTTGCTTTTGATTTTCTTTTCTTTTGTCTTTTTTTTTTTTTGAGACAGGGTCTCACCATGTCACCCAGGTTCAAGAACAGTAGCATGATCATGGCTCACTGCAGCCTCAACCTCCCAGGCTCAAGTGACCCTCCAGCCTCAGTCTCCCAAGTACCCAGGATCACAGGTGCATGCTACCACGCCCAGCTAATTTTCTAGTTTTTTGTAGAGATGGGGTCTTGCTATGCTGTGGCTGGTCTCAAACTCCTGACCTCAAGAAATCCTCCCATCTTGGCCTCCCAAAGTGCTGGGATTACAGGTGTGAGCAACCATGCCTGGCCGAAGAAAGTCATTCTTTCATATTCTTTAACATCCTAACCTTTCTCATCTTTGCCTCTTGATATTGGGTATATCTTGCTTTTGTGGTCTGTAGCCCACACTATTCACTGCTTTCAAAGAAGAGGAAAAGAGGTAGGTTAGTCACTTAAAGTTTAGCCACTCTAGAAGAAACAATCACAGAAACTTATACTTTGTTTTTTCCAATGCTAGATTTGCTCTAGAGATAAAATACTTGTTAACATGGTGTAGGTATATGGAAAGATGAGTGATAAGAAGACTGACCTGTTCTATTGTCCTTTCCTGAATGTGAATATAATGATTAAATGATTACCTCTGTCCAAAAAGATAAGGTTACAAAGCAGAAATGGCTAGAATATTGGAGAAACATGTCTACCATGAAAATATTTTGAGGGGGAAGAGGCTCAATATACAACACAGAATAGTTTTGAGCAGAATACTGTACATTGGATATCTTAAGAGAGATGATTCTAGTACAAGAAAAACTATCAGTAGTTGTAAAATGAATTAGAGAAACAGCAAAATAAATCTTCAAACAATAAAATGTATTCTTTAGACTCTAAAATGTAGCTTTAATAAATGATTATTTATCATTAATAATCATTTATTATTTATTAATCATTTATTATGGTTACAGAAAAAATAGAAAGGCACTCTAAGGGGAAAACACTAAATCTAGATTTTCTGACGAGATTCATAATGACCTATAGAAATACACATTATTGGCTATTTTTCACTTTATTGAGTTTTTTTTGTTCTTTTCCTATCTATATTCCTATTTTCTTATCAATGACAGTGCCCTTTCTCCTCTTTATAAATAATTCTTTGTTGTTGTTAACCCCTGAGGAGGCACTTTAAAAGACAATGATGGGAACCAAATGATGTGTGGTTAAGGTGTCTAAATAACATTTTTTTAAGTGTAATTAGCTCCCTTTCTGAACTATGTAGCACAGTCTGAAGGAAGGAGGTTGATGGGGAGGGGCAAGTTCTTACTTGTCTGGAACAGATATATACAGAAAGATGTATATATTCTCTTCTCCAACCCACCCCCGCCACAAAATCACTCCAATTATGCCAGTTGTAGATTTATTTAATTTAACAAGCTCCCACATTCAGAGATGCCAAAAACCCTAGAATAATTATTCCCATCAATCACTTGTAGGTAAGTTTTAATTGCTTTGGGCGTATCTATTATTAGTTGAGATGTTTTACAAACCAGTTTTATGTAGGCAGCACAATATTTTTACAAGAAAACCAAACAAAGCCTTTGGGCATGTATTCTCCAGTTCAACAAAAGCCCCACCATTCTTTAGTGTCTGATACTCACCTCTTTTAACCATTATGCCTAATTGGTCTCTCATGGCAGGTGTCATGCCCTGTTTGAAGAATATTTTGCCCTGTTTGGAGAATAAAGCTAAGTTGGGCAGAGCCTGATATTTGAGGAGGGTAAGGTTAGGTGAGTGGTCATGAGTATACAACATAAAATACCAAAAAATGTCAAAAAATATAAATAGAAGATGGGATGGAAAGGGATCAGTAAAAGACTTTACTGACAATGTAATACTTTTGCCTACTTCAAAGCTGATCATATCATTCCTGCTTTTGTTGTCAAATGTATGATACTCAGGCAAGTCTGGAATACGAAAAACTTCAGGCTACCCTAGTTGAGACTCCTACAGTCATGGTATCCTGAGTTTAACTCAACAGGTCTCCATTTGGTCAACTAACTATCCCCAAATTTCCACAGGTAAAGAAGAGAGAAAAGCAGAGAAAGAGGAAAGAAACTGAGGGCTACGTTCCAGTTAGTGGCTACTGGTAGGAAAGTTGGACATTTATTCTTTTCTTCCCTTGCCATCTTATTTTGAGAAATCCAAATTCCAAGATGCAATAAATACACATGGGCACACACACACACTCACACATATAGTGCTCCAAACAAATATGGGTTAGCTAGAGACATATAAGACTGTTAATGAAAATGTTGGAATCAATTTGCATCAGTAATTTTAAGAGAATTCTTGGTTTGTTCGATTCAATTGTTTTGTTCTAAAGTATACCAAAAGGTCTTTTAATTTGAGAATCACATATTTTCATATCTATACTATCAATAATTTTAACTATAATCCATATTGACTCAATATTACAGATTCATGAAATCTACAGAATAACATATGTCACAAATAAATATATATCATTGAGAAAATAGCACGATTTAGGAAATATTTCTCCAAATTGTGTTCCATGGAGTATTGTTCCATGGAATGAATGATAACTTATGTTACACATACACACACACACATACATACACACACACACACACACACACACACTTTAATGATTAAACAGGACTGGCTACATAATTTTCAGGTCCCCATGAAAAATGAAACTATGAGTCCCCTCGTTAAAACATTATTATGAATTTCAAGATGGTGACTGCAGAGAATGAAACCAAGAATGGGTCTCTTCTTTTTTTTCCTTTTCTTTTCTTTTTTTTTTTTTTTTTTGAGATGGAGTCTTGCTGTTGCCCAGGCTGGAGTGTAGTGGCATGATCTCAGCTCACTGCAACCTTCGCCTCCTGGGTTCAAGCGATTCTCCTGCCTCAGCCTCCCAAGTAGCTGGGATTATAGGCGGCTGCCACCACGTCTGGCTAATTTTTGTATTTTTAATAGAGTCGGGGTTTCACCATGTTGGCCAGGCTGGTATCAAATTCCTGACCTCGTGATCCGCCTACCTAGGCCTCCCAAAGTGCTGGTATTACAGGCCTGAGCCACCACGCCCAGCCAAGAATGGGTCTCTTCTAAGCATGGGCCCTATGTGACTGCACAGGCTGCACACCCTTGAAACTAGCCTCGGTTAAATTGTTTAAGAAATGCTGGGTTAAAAAATGTCTAACAGATTTCTTTGCAACAAGACTTCTTATAGCCTTTTATATACTAATGTGCACTGTGAACCTTCAGGAGGTTCACATACTGTATAAAGGTCCTCAAATATATTTGACCAAAGCTCTTTTCAATTATTATTTTAGAAGGATCATCTTGTAGGACCAATGTTCCACAGAACACACATTGTAAAAGGCAGCTCAGGCTGTGCAAACAGGTTATAAAATCAATTTGTTAGTCATAAATCACTATATATTTCCCATTTTGTGGCATTTTCCCCATATTTGGAATGAGGTAACTAGAGATAACTATAGATGCAAATGGTGTGTATTCACTAAATATACTGTCCTTCACTATTTGGTCTTCTACCATTTGGATAGTCAACTCAGTGGCCAAACATCACAAACGTTTTCTGGGCCAGGGTACTAGAGATGGTCTGATTGAGACTGTATCACAAGCCAACTTATTTTTCCCCTTTATTTTGTCAATTCAGAGGAAGTAACATCCTTACTTACCATTACCCAGTTCCCAAGAAATGTTGTACTTTTTGCTGGCGCTGTACTTCAACAGACTCAGGGCACTAGAACTGTTCCAGGAGTTATTGGGATTACGACGCAGTGCATTTAGAGCAAATATCAGGTGGAGTCCAGAGCAATCAGCAAAGTTATAAAGTTTGTCTAGAGACCTGGCTGGGAAGAAGCAGAGAAAGGCTTGTAACTTTCAAATCAACATTCCAACAAAAGGAAAATAGTAGCTAATATAAAAAGCCTTTCTATGAGCTTCCCACTAATAAGGAATAACACAGACAGGCTTCTAAAAGGGACTATTACCTTTTGGTCTGGGTACATTTCAAGTTGACTTTAGAAAGCAGCAGACAGGGCTGGGCGCGGTGGCTCACGCCTGTAATCCCAGCACTTTGGGAGGCCGAGGTGGGCAGATCACCTAAGGTCGGGAGTTCGAGACCAGCCTGACCAACCTGGAGAAACCCCATCTCTACTAAAAATACAAAATTTGCTGGGCGTGGTGGTGTATGCCTGTAGTCCCAGCTACTCAGAAGGCTGAGGCAGGAGAATCGCTTGAACCTGGGAAGCTGAGGTTGTGGTGAGCCGAGATTGCACCATTGCACTCCAGCCTGGGCAACAAGAGCGAAACTCCGTCTCAAAAACAAAACAAAACAAAAAAACAAAACAAACAAAAAAAAACAAGCAGCAGAGAGAATTCCAGACAGAGGTTGCAAATTGGCAACCAAATCTAGTCCATCATATGTTTTATTTAACAAAGTTAAATTGCTGATGTTTGAAAATGGGAAGATTTCACAAAGTAGCTGAATTTCTTAATTTTCCTTGAAAAGTCAGACAATATGGCACTGCTAGGTCCATATTCCTACAGGACATAAGATGAATAATAGGGTACAAGGCCAGGAAGGATAACTGGCTGGTGAGTCTTGGAAAATAGCTCAGCCTAGTATGATTTCCAAAAATTTTCACTGAAGTCCAGATTTCTAATATTTCTGACAATGGAAATACTATGACCACTACTACAAATACGTTCATTGCCGGGCGTGGTGGCTCACGCCTGTAATTCCAGCACTTTGGGAGGCCGAGGCGGGTGGATCTCGAGGTCAGGAGATGGAGACCATCCTGGCTAACACGGTGAAACCCCGTCTCTGTTAAAAATACAAAAAATTAGCCAGGCGCGGTGGCGGCTGCCTGTAGTCCCAGCTACTCAGGAGGCTGAGGCAGGAGAATGGCGTGAACCTGGGAGACAGAGCTTGCGGTAAGCCGCGATTGCGCCACTGTACTCCAGCCTGGGTGACAGAGTGAGGCTCCGTCTCAAATAAATAAATAAAATAAAAAAAAGAAATATGTTCATTATCAGGTTGATACCAGATACCATCAACTCTATCACCATGTGTCTCCTATTTATCCCATTCCTTCATTTCTATTGCCACCATTCTTTTTCTGGCTGTCATTTACACTTGGATAACTTACTATAATCTCTGTACTTGCCTGTCTACTTCTAGATTCTTCCCATCCGGCCAATTCATCTTCCCCCAGTCACTCTCAGCCAGTTTTACTCAATCCTCAAAACCAGTGGATTTTCAAGACCATTTTCTTCCTTAATTCAAGGCTTCTACAACTCACCCATAATTTTCCCCTCAACTTTAGGCCTCCCTATTTCTCTTAATGAGTTCTTTGTTGATGTCAGCCAGTTTATTTGTTAGAGAACTCCTTGCCCCATTGACCTTTGCTCTCCTTATTTGTCATGCCCTTACTGCTTTTTAAAACATATCCATATTTTACTTGTCCTTTTACACAGTGTATCCCAAGGTATGGATAATATGACTTCAGGTAGTACACAGTTTTAAAAAGCTTCTTAGATTAATAATTATGTAGAAGAGTTTACGTTATCCTAGTAGCCGTTAAAGCTAATGCAGAGTTTCTCAAATGGGGTTCTGTGAAACACTAGGGTTCCACAAGAGGTCACCAGAGGTTCTGCAAGAGATGATGCAGAGTGTCCAAGTTACCCCATTAGCAATTTTGTTATAGATCTTTTAGTCCTTTAAAAAAGAACCATTATCATTGGGTTGAGTATTTTATCAGTTTTTGAAGCAGGATATAGGAAGACTGCCATTTTCATCTTCTTACATATATAAGAAAGTATTTCTTAAGAAGCACCAAGAACAAGGACAGAAATTGTCTCATTTCTGTCAACTTATATCATACTCTACCCAGAAATAAAATCGATGTCAACTTACATCATACTCTACCCAGAATTGAGTAATTGGGCAACAACAACAACAACAAAAGGAATAAATTTCACATTCAGGAAATACATTTAATTATTATTTTTAGTTCCAAAATAACAATTAAAATTAAAATGCATTTATAGCTTAGTAAAGTGATCATGAAACCAGTATATAATAATTTTATAATTATCTACATGCCATTAGGTAAAAAAATAATTTTTGTCAAAGTATCATATAAAATTGTATCATAGGCTATAATTTTATTCATATTGCTTTGATGTATAGTTTTACATGCTTTACTATTCAACATCATTAATACATTTTATATTCAAAATAATATTAAAGTAAATTCATAACCTTTATTTAAATTAAACCTAACAAACCTACCCTTAGAAAAATTTTATCCCATTGTGGCTTAAACTAGTTACTTAACAAAAACAAATTATGTTTGCCTTATAAGATTTTCAAATTTATGAAAAGGAAATGATGAAATTAATTTCAAGAAAGACAGATAACTACTCTTTTTTTTCTTTTCAATCATAGTTGTCTAAAATAGTTGTCCTATTTAGTTTTAAATAGGACTTGCATTTACCATACCTCAGTAGTATTGATACAACAGAAATTTGTGTTAAGACTTTGAGGCCCACTTGTATAAGATACAAAAAAAATCTAGTAGGATTTTTTTTTAAAAAGAAAAACTGAAGTTTCTTTTATCTATACCATTAGAATTGGTATCCTTTGTGGGGAGAGGGAAACAATGCAAAAAATAAATAGGTTAAGAAACTGGCCAAACTAAACAGATTCTAAGGAAAATATAACTCTCTATTTAACAGAACACTGGCAATATTGGATAATTATATATCTACAACTCAATAGTCATTCTAATATACTATGAGCTTTAGATATAATAACTTTTATCCAGAAGTTTCCTTGAGATTTGAGAATTATTATTCTAGGTTACTCAAAAAATAATTTGAGTATTATAAGATCAACAGAGGTCCATTTTTAAGTCCTCTATTATTCATGTCATGAAAGTTATATTATCATAAAAAATACTCAATATTCAATTAAATAACATTTTATTCATCCATAGTTTCAATGACATCTATTAAGCATGCAATAAAATTACTTATTTTCATAATTTTTGGTTTCATTTATATACTAAAATCCATATCAAATGTTTGCATCAAAATTTAATATGAATGACTGATATTCCTTTTGGATAGATTGATTCCATTTAAGTCATCTTTTTCTAAAACTATTTCCATATAATGAGTATTTTACTGTGTATGTTTCACATGTATTAGAAACACAAACACACATCAAACACAAAAGCATATCAAACCTTTGATTTCATGGATTTGATGGTTTAAGGCAAGGCAAAATGTATTTACAAAAAATGTGTCAACATAAAGAGCAGTATGGGAGAAACAGTATGGATAGTTTGTTCACATAGCAAAAATTGGGAACTAGAATGCTAAAAGTTTGGGAAATACTTCTTTAAGAATAAGTTTAAGTCCTGCCTCTTCCATGACGCCATTCCTGAACACACCAACCTCCCGAAAGTGATTTCGACTTTCTCTAAACTCAAGAGCTATACCATTTTTTGGCATCTCACTGCTCTGTGACATATTATCTGTGACATAATATTATCTTGGGATTTACTTCTTGATTTATTCACTTCTCCAGAGTGAACAACTTGTTTTCCCAGTTAAACTGTGAAGTTTCTTAAGTTTGGTACCGTATCTTATATCCTTCATAGCATCTAACACACAGCAATTTTCTGCCTTAATATCATGCCGAAGAGTTCTCAAGGCCCAAATCCTTTGTGTTGCATAAAAGTGGCCTATAAGAAGTAGAAAGAGGCAAAAGAGAGATCTGTCTAAAATAATTATTGCTAGGCTGGGCGCAATGGCTCACACCTGTAATCCCAGCACTTTGGGAGGCTGAGGTGGGTGAATCATCTGAAGTCAGGAGTTCGAGACCAGCCTAACCAACATAGTGAAACTGGTCTCTACCAAAAATACAAAAAAATTAGCTGGGTGTGGTGGCACATGCCTGTAATCCCAGCTACTCTACTTAGGAGGCTGAGGCAGGAGAATCGCTTGAACCTGGGAGGTGGAGATTGCAGTGAGCCAAGATCACACCATTGCACTCCAGCCTGGGTGACAAGAGTGAAAATCCGTCTCAAAAAATAATAATTATTGCTAATCTAAGACATATGTTCTACAGTTTATTAGAAAAGTACATATATTTGAATATAGAGAATTTAGTAGATATTCAACACATGTAATCTCCCTTAGAAAATTTGCTCAGGTTCCATCAAAACAAATAGATACTTAAAGATTACTTTCTACTCCCTCCACCAGAGGGGGCCAATGCCTCTATGTCTTATAGTCAGGGTGCATTGACATTTCACAGGCATATAATTCTAAGAAGCACTGGATAGTGGGCAGTTGAAGATGAGGAGCTGGGACTTGAGAAAGATGTAAAAGTATACAGGCTTGGGTGTCACTCAGTGCTGACAGTTGATGCTGTGAAAGTTCTTGAGATTTCTGAAGGGCAAAATGTAGAAAGATGGCTGAAGAGAAAACCTTAAGAAATGTCCACATATAAGGGTCATGGAGAACAACAACAACAACAAAAAGAGAAGAAGAAGAACCCAGATATGCAGTCTTAAGGAACCCAAAATAAGAGAGTTGCAAGGAGGTGCTGTTCCATAACAGTAGGTGTTCATGACAAACTGAGGAGGAAAAGGACTGAGAAAAAAAAAACCATTAGATTAATCAAACAGTGAGGTTAGAAATTAGATTTAGGTTGTGATGAGACCTTAAAGAATGAGTAGATGAACAAGGAATAGATTCTGATACATTCAGCTTACTTATTGAAGTTCTGTGGCAATAAAAAGAAGAAAAGAAACAAAATAGTAATGAGAGAAGAACCAGATTGTTTTTTTTAAATGCAAGATCCAAGGTAAGCTACTTCTTTAATAAAGTTAATCTCAGTTTTCTATTAGGAAAATGTAGATAAGGGTCAATGAATTCACACTAAGATATGAATGACAGATTATTTCTCTTAGTTTCCCTAGTACTTGACACTTTAAAAACCAAACAGACAAGCAATCCAACAAACAAAAAATTGGACATTCATTAACTTATTAAATTACTCAACAAATATTTATTAAGCAGTTACTACGTGACAGGCACTATTATACACCATATATATCTGTAAATATACACATATGCATGCATATATATCTATATATACAGATATACATGCGTGTATATCTGTACATATACATGCATATATATATCTGTTCTGTATATATACATATATGCATGCATATATACATATATACATGCATGTATATATACAGATATATATATGCATATATACATACATACAAGAAGATAGATATACATATATAAAAGAAGATTATATAGTATATAATAGTGCCAGCTTTATGATGGTGCAAAAGCAATACACACTCAGTAGAAATCGTACTTCAAATACACAACCATTTTGTTTTTCACTTTCAGTATAGTATTCAATAAATTACTTGAAATATTCAATACTTTATTATAAGATAGGCTTTCAGTTAGATGATTTTGCCCAACAGTAGGCTGATGTAAGTGTTCTGAGTGCATTTAAGGTAGGCCCGGCTAAGCTATGATGTTCAGTAGGTTAGGTGTATTAAATGCATTTTTGACTTACCATAGTTTCAACTTATGATGAGTTTATTGGGACATAACCTCATAAGTTGAGGAGCATCTGCATGTGTAATTTATATATTTTATATATATATATTAAACACTATATATATATATATATACACACACACTTACACACACATTTATATTGCAATGAGCAAAACAGAAAACAGGCCCTACCCTCATGGAGGTTACATTTAATGTGGCTGGCAGGAGAAGTAAAGCAGGGTAGGAGATAGTATAGAACCAATAGTAGCTAGTATGCTATTTTAAATAAGCATCACAATTAAGGTGTCATTTGATCAGAGACCCAATGGAAAGAAGGGAGCAAGTCAAGTAGATAACTATGGAAAGAATTCCAGGCAGAGGGTCCTACAGTAAGGGCAAAGGCCCAAGACTCATGTGAGACTGATGAATGTGAAGAACACTGAGAGGCTGGTGTAGCTGCCCCAGAATGAATGAGAGGGAGAGCAGTAGGAGATGAGATCACAGTGGTAGCAAGGACATGTCACGAAGGGCCTTACTGGTCATTATAAGAACTTTGGCTTTTGCCCTCATTGACATAGAAGCCATTAGATGGTTTTGAATATGACCCAACTCACACTGTGAAATCATCACTCTGGCTGCTGAGCTGAAGAGACTGAAGGGGATGGGAAGAGCAAGGGTGAAAGCAAGGAAATTAGGAGTCTATAGCAATAATTGAAGCAAGGGATCATTGTGGCTTGGACCAGGGTGGTAGCAGCAGAGCGGTAGAAGTGGTTGGTTTCTGGGGATGTTTTAAAGGTTGAGCCAGTAAGATTTGCTGAAGGATTGGAATGTGGTGTGTGAGAAAAAAAGAGTCAAGAAACTCTGAAGTTTTTGGCTTAAGCAACAGAAAGATAAACTTGATATTTATGAAGGAAGTGTGAAAGATTGGGAGAAGAGAGAAGAAGGCCAAGATGAGAATTTGGGCTTGGGGCATGTTAAGTTTGTAATGTCCTTAGATGTATAGGTAAATAATTTGAGTGGGCAGAATATGCAAATCCAGAGTTAAGCAGTGGGATGTGGATGGGAAGTATAAAGCTGATTAAGCAAAACATTTTCAAAGGTTGGGAGAGATAGAGAACCTTTTACTGGAAAGAAGAGAGACAGGAGCTGTCATAGGGATCTTCCAGTTTACAGATGCCAATGTCATTAAAGTAGCTTAGTTTCCATCCCAGCTCTTCCCCCTCCTCCCCTTAATGCTGAGCATCTACTTGAGTCTCACCTTCCTTGATTCCGTATTCAGAATTAACTTCCCACCTTTTTATCCTGTTTTTGTTACGTATTTCCCTCAAAGTCACAGCTACCTTACTTTCCCTCCATTATTTGACAGAGACGATTAACATTTTCTTCATGTTTTGTAAGCTACTATGCAAACAAAGCTTATAGACATGGCTCCAGCCCTCACTTTTCAAATTGATGGCCCCCTCTAAGCTCCTCTTCCATAGAAATGATGGAGCAACAACTGTTACCTGGGAATTAAATTGGCACAAATTTTATTAGACTAGTGTTTGAGACCAAGTGTATGCAAGTTTCACATAGAAAACATAGTTAATTTGTTTTAAGGACTCAGTTCAATACTGTTCTTTTCTTAATTGGCAAAAATAACTCTAATACCCCTTTGTGACTATTTTATTCTTTTGCAACCTTCACATGAAGAAAGAGTGTTTTTTCTGTGTGGTTAAGAACTTGGGCACATGATCCAGACCCTTAGCTCTTGGAAGACAGGGCTGGTGACTCCAGAAGGAAAAATGGGTGCCTATAGAACAGTATCAACTTATTCTAATTGTGAGCATGTGAGAATATGGACAGATTATCAAGTCACATGAACAACAAAATCTAGAGACTGGACATACTTGAACAGAACTCAACGCTTTGATGTCAGGCCTCTGAGAACAGCTTCCCCATAGTTCCCCAAGGGGGAAAAACATGCAATGGAAAGGGGCCTATTTGGGGTTGGGTTAATACTAGGGATGACATCTTAAGTATTGAGCTATGAAGAAGCTTTAATGAGTTGTGATAGAACTCAAGAAGCAAAATTGGAAGTCAAAATTACTGAGAAGTTAAAATTTAAGGGTTTACTTTTGTGGAAAGATTTTTTAAAAAGTAAGTCTTTAATGCTATTGCTTAACTCTTCTTCATAAACTCTGTTCTTTTTAAACACAATTCTCAATCTTTCTATCAGTCTATTCCATGTATATTTTGGAGAGGACAGGCTCCCTACTCACTGCTCTTAATATAACCTTGCATTTGGTTGTAGTGAGACAAAGAACATTTGGATTCTTCTTATCTAGGTTTATGAAAGGAATTTTCAGGCTCTGAAAAATAAACACTATTATGAAAAGGATAGAAAAATATGTGACTGTGACAAAGACACATTTTATAAGGAAAAAAGTCAGAAAAACTTGGGAACAAAAGAGCTGCATAAGAAAGTCAAGTCCAATATGAAATAAACTAAAATGTGATATGGTCTTAAGCAGTTAAAAGAGTACAAAGTAAAGACAGACAAATTTGACCTTGAGGATAGGAAGATTCTTTGGGTAGCCTATGGGTTTTAACATTAGACTATATAGCAGAAAATATTAACCTAACATAGATCTTGTCCCAGCAGTAAATGACATTTATATCATCATAATTATATAAATACTCTTCATTGCTTTTCAGTATCTGGATACTTTCTACAGAAAACTGTAAATAATTTGGCTGGGATTGCAGAACAAAATGTAATAACACCAATGATAAAGTAAAAATAAACGTGTTAGTGAAAATGGCAAAAGTCTTGAAAGGGTATAGGGGACATAGATAAAAGGACATCAGTATTAATATTCTCATCTTACAGAGCTGTAAGAGCATCAAGAAATATTGCCAAAAGACCAAAAAGATATCTGCACTCCCATGTTTATCACAGCACTATTTACAGTAGCCATGATATGGAATCAGCCTAAGTGTCCATCAACAGATGAATGGATAAAGAATATGTAGCACACATACACAATGGAATACTACTCAGCCATAAAAAGAATAAAATCCTGTCATTTGTGACAATGTGGATGAACATGGAGGACAGTACGTGAAGTGAAATAAGCCAGGCACAGAAAGACAAATACTGCATGATTTTACTCATATGTGGAATCTAAAATAAGTTGATCTCAAAGAAGCAGAGGGTAGAATGGTGGATACCAGATGCTGAGGACTTTAGTTGGGAGGTGGGGGTGAGGAGGTGTTGATTAAAGAATACATAATTACAGTTACATAGGAGGAATAATTTCCAAGAGATCTATTGTGGAACAAGGCAACTATAGGTAATGATGATACATTGTATTCTGTAAAAATGTAAAGAGAACAGATGTTATGTATTATCACTAAAAAAATGATAACTATGTGAGAAAAAAAGTCAGGTAATGACAAGTGCTGGCGTGGGTAAGAGAAATTGGAACGCTTTGCATTGCTGGTGGGAATGTAAAATGCTGCAGCCTCTGTGGAAAACAGTGGTGGTTTCTCAAAAAGCTAGATCTAAAATTACCATATGATTCACAATTTCACTCCTAGGTATATATCCAGAAGAACTGACAGTGGGGACTCAAAAGGATACTTGTACATCAATGTTAATAGCAGCATTATTCACAATAGCCAAAAAGGTGGAAAAAACTCAAGTGTCCATTACTAATAAATATATAAACAAAATGTGGTATATCAATACATTGGAATATTATTCACCCATAAAAAGGAATGAAGCACTTTTGCTGGCACCTTCCATCAGAGTGTTGTGGCCAGCAGACTGGGAACATATTGGCCCCTCCAGCACAGCAGCAAGTGCTTAACCTTGGGGGCCGGAGGACAAAGCCTTGGGCCTGGTACCAGCCCCCCAGGGTTAGAGCATGCAGCCCAGAAATGCTTAGCTGAGCCTCGGCCCCTGAAATCCAGAAAAGAAACTAGTCAACTGAATCCAGCTTATACCACAGTCAAACCTTCAAGGGCATCAAAGAATATAAAAGCAAAAAACCCTATCCAAATGACAGTAACTTCAAAATTAAAGGAACATCAGCACCCACAGATGAGAAAGAACCAGAATAGGAACTCTGGCAACTCAAAAACCCAGAGTGTCTTCTTACCTCCAAATGACCACACTAGCTTCCCAGCAATGGTTCTTAACCAGGCTGAAATGGCTGAAGTGAGATATAGAATTCAGAATCTGGATTGCAATGGAGATCACTGAGATTCAGGAGAAAGTCAAAACTGAATCCAAAAAATCTAAAAAATCCAATAAAATGATACAAGAGCTGAAAGATGAAACAGTCATTTTAAGAAAGAACCAAACTGATCTGATAGAGTTGAAAAACTCACTACAAAAATTTCGTGATACAATCTGGAAGTATTAACAGCAGAATAGATCAAGCTGAGGAAAGAATCTCAGAGCTCGAAGGCTAGTTCTTTGAATCAAGTCAATCAGACAAACATAGGGAAAAAAGAATACAATGTAATGAAGAAAACCTCTGAGAAATATGAGATTACGTAAAAAGACCAAATCTATGACTCGCTGGCATTCTTGAAAGGAGAGAGAGAGCACAAGCAACTTGAAAAACATATTTGAGGATTTTTTCCATGAAAAATTCCCCAACCTCACTATAGAGTTTGACATTTAAATTTAGGAAATTCAGAGAACCCCTGTAAGATACTATCCAAGAAGACCATCTCCAAGGCACACAGTCATCAGATTCTCCAAGGTTGATGTGAAAAAAAATATTAAAAGCAGCTAGAGAGAAGGGGCAGGTCACCTACAGAGGGAACTTTATCAGGCAAACAGTGGACCTTTCAGCAGAAACTCTACAAGCCAGAAGAGACTGGGCACCTGTAGTCAGCATTCTTAAAGAAAAAAAATTTGGGGTTAGAATTTTTCTTTAAGAATGCTGACTACAGGTGCCCAATCCAGCCAAACTAAGATTCATAAGCAAAAGAGAAATAAAATCCTTTTCAGACAAGCAAAAGGTAAGGGAATTTGTTACCACCTGACCTTCCTTAAAAGAGGTTCTTAACAGAGTACTAAACATGAAAACAAAAGACTGTTTTACTGGTCATTACAAAAACACACTTGATTGACACTATAAAGCAACTACACAATCAAGTCTGCATAAACACCAGCTAATAACAAGATGACAGGATCAAATCTATACATGTCAGTAGTAACCTTGAATGTAAATCAGCTAAACGCCCCACAAAAAAGGCACAAAGTGGCAAGTAGGATAAAGAAGCAAGACCCAACTATATGCTGTATTCAGGAGACCCATCTCACATGCAATGATTCATAAGCTCAAAGTAAAGAGATGGAGAAAAATCTACCAAGCAAACAGAAAACAAAAAAGAGTAAGGGTTGCTAATCCAATTTAAGACAAAATGGACTCTAAACCAACAATGATCAGAAAAGGCAAAGAAAGGCATTACATAATGAAAAAAGGTTCATTCAACAAGAAGACTTAAATATCCTAAACATATATGCACTCAACACTGGAGCACCCAGATTCATAAAACAAGTTATTAGAGAACTATGAAGAGATTTAGATACCCACACAATAATAATGGGAAACTTCAACACCACACTGACAGTATTAGATCATCGAGGCAGAAAACTCCAAAGATATTTGGGAACTAAAACTCAGCACTTGACCAAATGGACCTAACAGATATCTGCAGAACACTCCACCCAACAACAACGGAATATACATTCTTCTCATTTGCACATGGCACATGTTCTATAATAGAAGACATGCTCGGTCATAAAACAATTTTCAAAAAAATTTTAAAAAATCATATCACCCACCCTCTCAGACCACAGTGCAATACAAATAGAAATGAATACTAAACAGATCTCTTGGCTGGGTGTGGTGGCTCACACCTGTAATCCCAGCACTTTGGGAGTTTCAGGTGGGCAGATCACGATGTCAGGAGATCGAGACCATCCTGGCCAACATGGTGAAACCCCATCTCTATGAAAAATGCAAAAATTAGTTGGGCGTAGTAGCACATGCCTGTAATCCCAGCTACTCGGGAGGCTGAGGTGAGAGAACTGCTTGAACCAGGGAGTTGGAGGTTGCAGTGAGCCGAGATGGTGCCACTGCACCCCAGCCTGGCAACAGAGAGAGATTCTGTCTCAAAAAAACAAAAAACAAACAAAAAAGATCTCTCAAAACCATATAATTACATGGAAATTAAACAACCTGTTCCCGAATGACTTTTAGGTAAGCAATGAAATTAAGGCAGAAATCAAGAAATTCTTTAAGACGAATGAAAACAAAGATACAACATACTAGAATCTCGGACACAGTTAAAGCAGTGTTAAAAAGAAAGTTTATAGCACTAAACACCCACATGAAAAAGGTAGAAATGCCTCAAATTAACAACCTAACATCACACCTAGAGGAACAAGGAAAACAAGAGAAAACAATGCCAAAGCTAGCAGAAGAAAATAAATAACCAAAATCAGAGCTGAACTGAATGAAATTGAGATGTGAAAAACCATACAAAATATCAATAAAACTAAAAGTTTGTTTTTTGAAAGAATAAGATTGATAGACCACTAGCTAGACTAATAAAGAAAGAAGAAAGAAGATCCAAATAAACACAATCAGAAATGACAAAGGGGACATTACCACTGAACCTACAGAAATAATAATTAAAAAAACCCTCAGAGACTGTTATGAACACCTCTATGCACACAAACTAGGAAACCTAACCAGGATAAATTCCTGGAAACATACAACCTGTCATGACTGAACAAGGAATAAATTGAAACCCTGAACAGACCAATAACAAGTTCTAAAATTCAATCAGTAGTTACAAGCCTACCAACCAAAAAACAAAAAAGCCCTGGACCAGAAGGATTTACAGCCAAATTCCACCAAACATATAAAGAAGAGTTGGTACCAATCACACTGAAACTATTCCAAAAAATCCAGGAGAAGAACCTCTTCTCTGACTTATTCATGAGGCCAGAATCATTCTGGTACCAAAACCTGGCAGAGGAAGGAAACAAAAAAAGGAAACTTTAGGCCAATGTCTCTAATGAACATAGATGCAAAAATCCTCAACAAAATACTAGCAAACTAACTAATCTGGCAGCACATCAAAAAGTTAATCCACCACAATCAAGTAGGCTTTATTCCTGGGATGCAACATTGCATATTAATACTCAAATTAATAAATGTGATTCATCACATAAATAGAACAAAAAACAAAACCCACATAATCATCTCAATAGACACAGAAAAGGCTTTCCATAAAATTCAACATCCTTCATGTTAAACATGCTCAACAAAGTAGGCATCAAAGAAACATATCTCAAAATAATAAGAGCCATCTATGGCAAACCCACGGCCAGTAATATATTGAATGGACAAAAGCTAGAAGCATTTCCCTTGAGAACCAGAACAAGATAAGAATGGCCACTCTTAGCACCTCTATTCAACATAGTACTGGAAGTCCTAGTCAGAGCAATCAGATAAGGGAAAGAAACAAAATGCATCTAAATAAGAAGTGAGGAAGTTCAAATGATCTCTCTTCACAGACAATATGATTCTACACCTAGAAAACCCTAAAGACTCCACCAAAAGGCTCCTGGAATGGATAAACAACTTCAGTAAAGTTTCAGGATACAAAGTCAATATACAAAAATCAGTAGGATTTCTATACACCAACATTGTCCAAGCTGAGAGCCAAATCAAAAATGCAATTCCATTCACCATAGCCATAAAAAAATTATAAAATACCTAGGAAGACAGCTAACCAGAGAAATGAAAGATCTCTACACCAAAAATTATGAAACGCTGCTGAGAGAAATTAGAGACAACACAAATATTAATAAGTGGAAAAACATTTCATGCACATGGATAGTAAGAATCAATATTGTTAAAATGGCCATACTGCCCAAAGCAATTTACAGATCCAGTGCTATTCCTATCAAACTACCAATGACATTTTCCACAGAATTAGAAAAAAATATTTTAAAATTCATATGGAACAAGAAAGAACCCAAATAGCCAAAGCAATCCTAAACAAAAAGAACAAAGCCAGAGGCATCACATTACCTGACTTTGAATTATGCTACAAGGCTACAAAAACCAAAACAGCACAGTACTGGTACAAAAACTGACAAATAGGCCAATGGAATGGTTACAATACTGAGAAATAAAGCTGCACATCTACAACCATCCAATTTTCAACAACCTTGACAAAAACAAGCAATGAGGAAAAGACTGCCTATTCAATAACTGGTGTTGGGATAACTGGCTAGCCATATGCAGAAGATTGAAACTGAACCCCTTCCTTCCACCATATAAAAAATCAACTCAAGATGGGTTAAAGATGTAAATGTAAAATGTAGAACTATAAAAACCCTAGAAAAAGACCTAGGATATAGCATTCTGGACATATGCCCTGGCAAAGATTTCATGATGAAAACTCCAAAAGCAATTACAAAAAAAAAAAAATTGACAAATGGGACCTAATTAAACTAAAGAGCTTCTGCACAGCAAAATGAACTATCAGCAAACAGACAACCTACAGAATGGGAGAGAATATTTGCAATCTATGTATCCAAAAAAGGTCTAATATCCAGAATATATAAGGAACTTGAACAAATTAACAAGCAAAAGCCAAACAATCCCACTAAAAATTGGCCAAAGGGCATGAGCAGACACTTCTCAAAAGAAGACATACACATGGCCCACAAGCATATAAAGAAATGCTCAACACATTGCTAATCATTAGAGAAATGCAAATCAAAACCACAATGAGACATCATATCATACCAGGCAGAATGGCTGTTATTAAAATGTCAAAAAATAACAGATGCTGGTGAGCTTGCGGAGAAAAACGAATGCGTATACACTGTTGGTAGGAATGCAAATTAGTTCAGCCATTGTGGGAAGCAGTTTGGAGATTTCTCAAAGAATTCAAAACAGAACTAGAACTTGACACAGTAATCCCTTTACTGGGTATACACCCAAAGGAATATAAATCATTCTACCATAAAGATACATGCATGCATATGTTCAATGCAGTGCTAGTCACAATAGTGAAGACATGGAATCAACCTAAATGCCCATCAATGGTGGACTGGATAAAGAAAATGTGGTATATACACAGCATGAAATAGTATGAAGCCACAAAAAGAATGAGCTCATGTCCTTTGCAGCAACATGGATAGAACTGGAGACCATTATCCTAAGTGAATTAATGCAGGAACAGAAAACCAAACACTGCACATTCTCACTGACATGTTATTGCTAAACACTGAGTATACATGGACACAAAGAAGGGAAAAATAGATACCAGGGCCTACTTGAGGGTAGAGTGTGGGAGGAGGGTGAGGATTGAAAAACTACCTATTGGGTGCTATGCTTATTACCTGAGTGATGAAATAATTTGTATGCCAAATACTCATGACACACAATTTACCCATGCAACAAACCTGCACGTGTCTCCTCTGAACCTAAAATAAAAGTTGGAAGAAAAGGTAATTGCCCAGACCAATGTCAAGACACTTTTCCCCTGTGATATCTTCTAGCAATTTTACAAGTTTTGGGTCTTATTGTTTTAGTTTTTCATCCATTTTGAATTAAATTTTGCATATGGTGTTAAATAAGGATCCAATTTCATTCCTCAGTGTGTGTATATCCAGTATCCCAATATCATACATTAAAGACATTATCTCTTCCCCATTGTGAGTTCTCAGAACCGTTGTTAAAGATCAGTTGACTAAAAATGTGTGGGTTTATTGCTGGGTTCTCTGTTCTGTTACATTGATCTATATGTCTATTTTTATGCCAGAACCATTCTCTTTTTATTAGCTTAGCTTTGTAATAATATTTTGAAATCAGAGAGTATGATGCCTCCAACTTTGTTCTTCTTGCTCAAGATTGCTTTGACTATTCAGGGTCTTTTGTGGTTCCATGTGAATTTTAGAATTGTTTTACTATTTCTGTGAAAAATGCCATTGGAATTTTGATATGAATTGCATTGAATCTGTAGATGGCTTTTTGTAGTAGAGACATTTTAACAATATTATTTGAATTCATAAACATGGGTATCTTCCCATTTATTTGTATCTTATTTATTTCTTTCATTAATGTTTTATAGTTTTTAGTATGCAAATCTTTCACTTTTTGGTTAATTTTATTCTTAAGTATTTTGTTCTGATGCTATTGTAATGGGGTTTTAAAAAATATCATTTTCAGATAGCTTGTTGTTAATATATATAAGCACTACTGATATTTGTATGTTGATTTTATATCCTGCAACCTGTACTGAATTCATTTATTAATTCTAACAATTTTTTAGTGAAGTATTTAGGGTTTTCCCTATATAAAACGATGTCATCTGTAAACAGACAATTTCACTTTTTCCTTTTTATTAATAATTTGTTTATGATTTAGCCTTGGCAGGTTTCATTTCTTTTTTGTTGTCCACTTGGTCTGGGTAGGACTTCTAGTACTATGTTGAATATAAGTGATAAGAATGGACATCCTTGTCTTGTTACTAATCTTAGAAGAAAAGCTTTTGGCTTTTTACTGTTGAATATGATTTTGGCTGTGGGCATGTCATATATGACCTTTATTATGTTGAGATACATTCTTTGTATATCAATTTGTTTAGAGTTTTATCATAAAGAATGTTGAATTTTATCCAATAATTTTTCTGCATCTATTGAGATGATCACATGGTTTTTGTCCTTTAGTCTGTTAATATGGTATATCACATTTAGTGATTTGTGTATACTGAACATCTTGCATCTTCGGAATAAATCTCACTTGATCATGATAAATTAGTCTCTTACTGTGCTGTTGAATTTGCTTTGCTAGTATTTTACTGAGAATTTTTGCATTTTTGTCCATCAGTGATACTTTCCTATAATTTTCTTTTCTTGTAGTGACCTTGTCCAGCTTTGGTATCAGGTCTTTGATATGAGCTTTGGTATCACTAAAGTTGGTCTCATAAAATGGCTTTGAAAGTGTTCCCTCCTCTTCAATTTTTTGGATGAGTTTGAGAAGGAATGGTATTAATTCTTTAAATGTTTGGTAGAGTTCACTTGTGAATCCATCTGGTCCTGGGCTTTACTTTGTTAGAAGGTTTTTGACAACTGAGAATCTTACTTATTTTTGGTCTGTTCAGGTTTTCTATTTGTTTATGGTTTAATCTTCATAGGTTGTATGCTTCCAGAAATTTCTCCATTTTGTCTAGGTTATCCAATATGTGGTGTACAATTGCTTGTAGTAGTCTCTTATAATCCTTTGTATTTCTGTGGTATCAGTTGTAACATCCCCTTTTTCCTTTATAATTTTATTTAAGTCTTCTCTCTTTTTTGTTTAGTCTAACTAACATGGGAATAATAAAAATGAGAACAGAAATAAATGAAATAGACATTAGAAAACCCGTAGAAAAGATCAAGGAAGCTAAGAGTTGGCTTTTTGAAAAGATAACATCAACAAAGCAACTCCTAGCTTTCTTGATCTTTTCTATTTGTTTCTTAATCTCTATTTCATTTACTTCTGTTCTCGTCTTTATTATTTCCTTCCTTCTGCTAACTTTCGGTTTCATTTGTTCTTCTTTTTCTAATTCCTTGAGATAAAAAGTTCATTAAGATCTTTCTTTTTTCTTAATGTAGGCATTTATTACTATAAACCTCCTTCTTCATTTATAATTCTGACAGTGAAAATTTCAACATAAAATTATTTACCCAGAACAAAATAGCTTCCAAATATGAAGACATGACTGCCATTGTCAACCAATATGGAGTAAGCCAACTACAGTGTATATTTCATACTGACTACAACTAAAATCTCTGGACAGAATACAAATGGCAATGACCTAAGAACTCCGAAAAGTAAACAGTAGCAAGCGGACTGGGGACTTAACTTACAATCTGGACAATGATCTGTAATGAAGGTGAGTTTCATGGTCTTATGTTCTTCCTTTACCTCCAGTCTTTGACTAAGATAAGGCCCAAGTGGCAGAACAGTGTGATAGGCGCTAAAAGTAGAAATTCTGAAAAACAAAGCATTATTTCTAGCCATAGAATCAGAAAAAGAGGCCCCCCGCAACATGCCAGACAGTTTGAGAATACTCATTTACCTTCCCTCCCCTCCCCTCCTCTCCCCTGTCTTCCCCTCCCCTCCCCTCTTCTCCTCTCCTTTCCTTCCCTTTCTTTTCTTCTCATTTCTCTCCCAGCCCTGCCCATAGGACTAGCCACTTACAGAGTTTTATGGCTATGACATTGATGACAGAGGCACCTAAGATCCTGAAAAGGGACTTGTCTCTCTGCACAGAAGAATTGAAAAATGGGACCTTGTTCCTTAAATAATGTGGAAGAATTTCCTTTTTAAAAAATCCCTCTTTCTCACCAGTTTGCCTCTAAAGAAGTCCCAGTCTCACAGAACTGAAAACCTGGCGGGGGTGGGGGGTGGGGGGTGCTAAAACCTTGAGAAAAAAGATAATATATTTGGAACAAAAGAAGTGAGGAAAAGTCTCTTAAATCCAGAGAGAAGGAGAGAGACAGAGAGAAAATGTTCGGGGCTGGAGGATTCCCAAGAAGAGAACACTGGAGAAGGGGACTCATCTAATTCTGGATATGAAACAGCAGAAGTACCAGGATCATGCTGGAGTTACCTGCAGGCAAAAGAGACCCAAAGAAGCACAGAAAAGTATTTAAGAATTGAAATGTGATAAAACCATGGGCCAAGTCCCAAACTAATTTCTGAGTGGTACATGTACTGGGTAGACTCAAACTTTAATAACAGAACTGACATTGAAACCACCATGCATGGGAGATGAGACCAAATTTACAGTCTGAACATAACCACATTGATCCCATACTTTTAAAAAAAAATGGGACACAGGTTCTGACAATGTAACATTCAAAATGTCCAGAATATGATTCATATTAAGCCACATGAAAAAAATAATAAAACAAAACAAAAAGAAAATCTGACCAATTCTCAAGAGAAAAGACAATCAGCAGAGGACAATCCTGAGATGATCCAGACATTGTATTATCAAATAATAATAACAATTATCAAAGACTTGAAAGCAGCCAGTATAGCCATCACCCATGATGTAGTGATGAACATGTTTTAAATGAATAAAATATGCCTAAGAACTAGAAACCATAAAATAGAACCAGATGAAAATTTTAGAGCTAAAATATATAATATTTGAAATAAAACCTTTACTTGATGGGCCTAATACCAGAACAAAAATGACAGAAGAAAAAAATCAATAAACTTAAAGATAAAACAGGAGAAATATACAATTTAAAGACAGATTTTTTTTTAATGAACATAGTCTCAGTGAACTGTGAGACAATATCAAAAGGTTTAAGACTCATGTCATTGGCATCCCAAATGAGAAAAGAAAGACATTACTACAGGAAAAAAACATTTAAAGAAACAGTAGTTGAAAACTTCCCAAATTTGATTTAAAAAATAAACTTAACAAAATCAAGATTCTCAGTGACTCTCAAAACAATGTAAACTAAAAACCAAAACAAAACCCATACATACCCAGACACATAATCATAAAACTGATTAAATCCAAGTATAAAGAAAAAAAATCTTGAAAATAGCCAGAGAAAAGCAACATATTACATATAAGAGAAAAATGATTTAAATGATCATGTACTTCTCATGTGTTCTCTTCTCTGGAATCTTCTGCCAGCTCTCAAACATTTTCTCTATCTGGATTTAAAAGACTCTTTTCCTCACTTCTTTTGTTCCAAATATATATTTTTCTGACGAGAAAAGAGGGTTTTTTTCTTATATATTTATCATAAGAAACTATGGAGATCAGAAGAAAGTGAAATATCTTCAAAGTGCTGAAAAAGAAAAGACTATATCTAGAGAATATATTTTTCAGGAATAAAGGTGTTACAAAGACATTTTCAGATGAAAAAAAAAAAACTAGTAGAATCCATTGTGAAGAAACTTGCTCTAAAAGAAATGCAAAAGGAAGTCCTTTAGGCTAAACAGAAATGATGCCAAAGGGAAATGAACAAAGGAGAAGCAACAGAAATAGTAAATTTGGGGGTAAAGGTAATAGGCTATTTTTCTCCTCTCAAATAATTTAAAAGATGTATGGCAGTTTAAAGCAAAAATCACAACACTGTCTGAAGGAACTTCAACATACATAGATGTAATACATCAAACAACTATCCTCTTGCCCCTAGTTATTTAATGTATTAATTACATCTATGTATGTTGAAATTCCTTCAGATAATGTTATAATTTTGGTTATAATTATAATTTTTGTTATAATTTAGTAAAAATGGTAGAAATGGTCAAATACTAATTCTAAGTAAACTGAGAAAGGTTATGTATGTATTTTTTAATTCCTGAAGAGGTCATTAAAATACTGCAAATGTAGTCAAAAATCAATAAATTCAAATGGAACACTAAAAATATTCATTTAATCCAAACAATGGGAGAAATGGGGGAATAGAGGTACCAAAAAAACATGAGGGGTATAAATAAATTTGTTAAAAGCAAATAAAAGACAAAAAGAAAGCAAATAAAAACAAATTTAGAAATCTATAGAACCATATCAATAATTAGATTAAATGTAAACGTACCAAAAAGTACAAACTTGTTAGATTTGATTTTTAAAAATAAATCCAATTATACACTATGACAAGAAACCCACTTAAAATATAATTATATAAATAGGTTAAAAGGATGGATAAGCCAGGCGTGGTGGCTCACGCCTGTAATCCCAGCACCTTGGGAGGCAGAGGCAGGCAGATCACTTGAGGTCAGAAGTTCGAGACCAGCCAGACCAACATGGTGAAACCCTGTCTTCTACTAAAAAAACACAAAAATTAGCCGGGTGTGGTGGCACGTGCCTGTAATCCTGGCTCCTCTGGAGGCTGAGGCAGGAGAATCACTTGAACCAGGGAGGCGGAGGTTGCAGTGAGCCGAGATGGCACCACTGCACTCCAGCCTGGGTGACAGAGAGCCAGAGAGCCAGACTCCGTCATAAAAAACAAACAAACAAACAAAAAAACTAGAGTTTCTGTATTTTCCTTGGAGAAAGGAAACTTAGGAATAAAAAAGGCCATAAAATTATGATAAACAGGTCAATTCACAAACAAAATATAACAATCCTAAAAGTACATGTACCTAATAAACTTCCAAAACATATGAAGCAAAAATTGACATAACTCAAAGAAGAAACAGCCAAATCTGCAATTACAAATGGAGACTTCAACACTTCTCTCTCAGTAATCAATAGAACAAGTAGATGGAGACCTGAACAATACTATCAACCTACTTAACCTAACAGAAACTTGAAGAACACTGAAGACAACTATAGTAAAGTACATTCTTTAGCAGTGCTCATAACACTCACCAAGACAGACCATATTCTGGGCCATAACTTAAGCAAATATAAAAGAACTCAAATCATACAAAGTATTTTATATGACCATAATGGCATTAACCCAGAAATTAGTAACAGAAAGGTAACATCTGGAAAATTCTCCCAAATATTGGGAAATTAAACTACTGCTATAAGTTACTTTTAGGTAAAAGACAAGTCAGAAGGGAAATCATAACATATATTCAATGGAATAAAAATGAAAATAGAACATATCGAAATTTGTGTGATGTAGCCAAAGCAGTGCTTACAGGAAAATTGATAGCAAAAAATGCTCTTATTTAAAATGAAGAGGCCAGGCATGGTGGCTCACGTCTGTAATCCCAGCACTTTGGGAGGCCGAGACGGGTGGATCATGAGGTCAGGAGTTCAAGACCAGCCTGGCCAAGATGCTGAAACCCCATCTCTACTAAAAATACAAAAATTAGCCAGGCATGGCATGGTGGCACGTGCCTGTAATCCCAGTTACTCAGGAGGCTGAGGCAGGAGAATCACTTGAACCCTGGTGGCAGAGGTTGCAATGAGCCAAGATCACGCCACTGCACTCCAGCCTGGGTGACAGAGCAAGACTCTGTCTAAATAAAAAAATAAAATGAAGAGAGGTTTCACATCATTAATCTAATCATCTACCTTAAGAAGCTATAAAAAGAAAAGCAAATAAAATCTAAAGCAAGCAGAAAGAAATAGAGTAGAAATAAAATTGAAATAAATAAAAATCAATCAACTAAAAGCTGGCTCTTCAAAAAGATCAGTAAAATTGATAAAACTCTAACAGACCAAAAACGAGCTGAGAGACATACAAATTACCAGTATCAAGAAGGGAAGAGATGAATCAATATAAACCATATAAATATTAAAAGGAAAATAAAATATTATGAACTATCCACTATCCATAAATTCAAGAATAACGTCCATAAAACAGAACAATGCCTTGAGAGACACAAACTACCAAAATTCATTCGAGAAAAAACAGAAAATAGGAATAATCATATATCTACCAAGGAAATTGAATTCATAGTTTAAAACCTTCAACAAAGAAAACCACAGAACATACACTAGTTGATTTCACTGCTGACACCAATTCTACATCAGTAAACATTTAAGGAAGAAATAATACCATTTCTAAACAATCTCTTCCTGAAAACAGAAGGAAATAGTTCTTAATGCATTTTGAGGCCAGCATTATCCTTGTAACAAAATGAAATAAAGACATTACAAGAAATAAAAGATATAAGCCAACATCTCTCATAAAAATGTAACAAAAATCCCCAACAAAATATTAACAAATTAATTCACAAATGTAAGGAAAAATAACACAACCAAGTGGAGTTTATTCCAGCAATGAAAGGCTGATTCAACATTCAAAATTAAATCAATGGGCAGGGTGTGGTGACGCATGCCTGTAATCCCAGCACTTTGGGAGGCTGAGGCAGGCAGATTGCTTGAGCTCAGGAATTGGAGACCAGCCTGGGCAACATGGCGAAACCCAATCTCTACTAAAAATACAAAAATTAGCTGGGCATGGTGGTGCACACCTGTAGTCCCAGCTACTCAGGAGACTGAGATGGGAGGATCACCTGAGCCTGGGAGGTCGAGGCTGCAGTGAGCCATGATCACACCACTGCACTCCAGCCTGGGTGACAGAGCAAGACCCTGTCTCAAAAACAAAAAACAAAACAAAAAAAACCCCACAATATTAACTCAATGTAATTCACCATATTAACAGACTACATAAGAAACAGCACATGATAATTTCAACAGATGCTGAGAATATATCCGACAAAATTCAACATTAATTCATTATTTTAAAAAATTCATAGCTATGAACTTCTTTAGTTTGATAAATGGCATCTACAAAATGTTCCAGCTAATGTCATATTTAATAGTGAAAAATTGAATGTTTTCTCTCTCCAGAGAAGCTTTTTCACTTGTGTACAAGGAGACAAGAACAAGAATTTTGACTGAAAGGCTATTTGCAATAAGAATAAATTAGAAATAGCCTAAATGTCCATCTATAAGAATTGATAAGTAATTTTTTGAAAAATAAACCAGAGTTACATGTATTAACAGAAATAAATCTCAAAAACATAATTTACAGAGAAAAACAAGGGAGTTGCCTAATAATACATGCAGCATGATACTATTTGTATGATGGTTAAGACATACAAAATAGTACTATACAATTTATTATGGAAATACATTATATGTTTATATAATACATGATATATACATGTATATGTTATGCATATTGCACTATATATACTATATATATTATACTGTATATACATATATGTATATTATGTAATGCTATATATAATATGTAGTTATATACAATACTATAACATGTATAGTATATGTTAATATGTAATATTTATTAATATTTATTTTAAATATATTATTTATGTATCTATAAATTATATCAATATTTTTATACATGATATATAATAAATTCATATATAAACATACATGTATTTTTAATGTATCAATACTATATAGTTATATATTACTACATCATATATAAATATGTATAAATTTAATATACTATACACTTATTTAATATATATTACTATATAAACATTTATATCCTTGAAAGACATATGTTCTATATAAACATTTATATAGAAATATATATTAAATAAGCATATAATATATTAAACTGATACATATTTATATATGGCATAGTAATATATAACTATATAATAGTGATACATTAAAAATAACTATCTGTTTATATAGTATAAGTAAAATAAAACAAAGGGAAATGTAAATTAAAAATTCAGGATACTTTACCTCCTCTGTGTTATACTGGAAAATAATGGGATTGGAGAGAAATACTCAGGCAGGTTTAAATTATGTCTATACTCTTATTTCTTCTAAAATATTGGAAGCAAATAGTCCTTGTGTAAAGATTTATCAGTCTTAACAAAGTTACTTACTGGTGGGTGATGGGTGTTTGTCACATAATTCCCTACACTTTTTTGTATAGTTTTATTTTTTCCTAATAAAAATACTAGAAGGAAAAAAAGTTCAACACACTTACTTGTTCCAATTAAAAAGTTTGTCTCCGGAGAGAAGGGCTGGGATAGGTGGTGGTAGGAGGAAAGCGGGCAGGAGACTCTTGCTTTTCACCGTGAGCTCCTCTTTACTATTTGATTTGTTTTTGTCAGTTTATAATTCTCACAAAATTATTTTTGTTTTAATAAAAATGAACTGATAGTAGAAAATGGTGAGCACAATTTCAGATTCTAAATTATTTGATGACTTGATCATATTTGATCTTGTAGTTTTCAAGTTTAGCATCAGTACCCAGCACAGAGTGGTTACTAAGTACATGTTTACTGTTTGTTTTATTTTATTTACTAAATATTATAGTCCACATATATAAATATGATGTCTGTTTTCTAATCACTGGCCCCAAATTTATTCTGTTCCCTTGGACAAATCATTTAACTCTATGGTACTTCAGATTCCTTGTTTTACAAAAGTCAATAATAATACTTGTCTCAGCTGGTCATGGTGGCCCACGCCTGTAATCCCAGCACTTCGGGATGTTGAGGCAGGTGGATACTTGAGGTCAGGAGTTCAAGACCAGCCTGGCCAACATCGTGAAACCTCATCTCTGCTAAAAATACAAAAATTAGCCAGGCTGGTGGCAAGCACCTGTAATCCCAGCTACTCAGACCGAAGCAGGAGAATTGCTTGAACCTGGGAGGCAGAGGTTGCAGTGAAGGGAGATCGCGCCACTGCACTCCAGCCTGCATGACAGAGCAAGACTCCATCTCAAATAATAGTAATAATCATAATAATAACTTGTCTATGTCCCAACATTATTTTAAGTTTCAAATAAGAAAATGGATATCAATAAACTGTTCTTGAAAGGTATAAAGTATACGCAAATTGAAGAAATGTAGGAGACCACTGGAAGATTGGGAAGAATTCTCAAGAGATCATATCATCACATAAATATCCACAGTCCATGGTTTTCCAGAACATGTTAGTGACCATAAAAAACACCCTCTTTCCATATATGTGTCTTGAAAGTCTGAATATAGCTTGTTGTTTTGGTGGAGTGGAGGTGGGAGTTGGGGGATGATATTTTGTGTAGAAATATTATGGAAATGGACATCTTTAGTCATAATTAAAGATGTTTTCTTAGGAAGAAATTTCTTAAGATGGCATGATGACACACTACTCAGTTTCTGGCAAAGGTTCCACTGAGCCTGTGATAAAGCAGTAACAAGTATAACACTTCTTACTTGACTTAAAACCATTTTGGCTCTAGGACAGACCTGGCTGTCCCATGAGTGCGGGGTGTGGGTGCTAAATAATCCAGGGAAGAGCAATGACTATGTAGAGATATGGGGCCTCTCTCCAAATATTGTGATTCTAATGTGAGACTATAAAGAGCTAGCCTCGGAAGGAAGGAGATGGTTAAGAAAAGAGGTCACCAAATATTTGTTGGCACTGAATTAGTCACTTGGGTACTGAGTATAATCAAAGCTGAGACATGGTCCTTGCTTTCAAGGAATTTATAGGCTGAGACATAAGTAACTTGGACACCACCAGCAGACTATCAACATGGGATGGAATAATGAGTCAAAAACATATGCACTATTCATATTGATCACATACAAAAGCCACACTTTTATATTACTAGTATATTATTTTTCTTTTGGATACAAAGATGGAATGTTATTGCTAAGTTTGAAGAGTCTATCTAAAAGGTCCAAAGTATATCTAGAAAGAGAAATCCCTTTGCCCAAACCACTGAAATAGTAATAGGGCACGCACTTGGTGACATATCTCAAAGTTCCCAGAAATAGTCCAAGTGGCCTTGCATGGCTAGAAAGTTCTCCGCTTTTAATTTTGTTGTGTTCCAAAGACTTACTTGTGAGTCAGCTGTTGGAAACTTGGTATGTGTTTTCACATTGAAAGAAAGCCACAAGTGAGGGTCATTTCTTTAGATGGGCCAAAAAAAGGTTGTACAAATCCATTCTGAATAAGGAATTATAATACTAATGGAATGGTGGAATCTGATCCCTAGGTGTAACTATCTGTGTGTATATATGTGTTTGTGTATGTGTGTGCATGTGTATGTGTGTGCCATGAAAATGCACCACTCACATCTGCCACAGGGAGCATAACTGATTAATGGTTCTAGCTACTCCTCTTCTACATATATCACTGCATTTGTGCCAAGGTCACACTTCCCATGAGCTGCTTCTAGTCAATGACTGAACACAGTAGCCAAGGATATTAAGGCAGGTTTATTCCAGCAAATTATAGGACTCTTCCTGCAGATAATTTTGGCTTGAGGACTCCCCATGAGCCTGGCTGAATCATTTTTGGAAATGCCCTAGTCTAAGATGCCTTCCCTTCTCCTCGCCTCCCCTTCCCCCAACCACAGACATTAGACTGGTCTGAAGGCTTTCTTCACCTTCACCAGTTCCTCCCTGCTTCCAATCAATCTCTGGAACATCTAATCGTATCTTAGTGTCTGCTTCTTGGTAGACTCAATCTACTGCAAGTAACAGTGAAAATGGAGCAAAAAAGCAGGGAATACGATGGGGATTTGTGACTGACTCATCAACCAAAAGGGAAAAGGGGGGCCATCCTGAATGGGGTAGGTGAGCATGAACAGCCCCTGACAAAAGGTGATGGCTCATTTACTAAATATTTCATTAGTGGTTATCTAAGAATTTAGCCAGGTAGAGGGATGCAGCTGCAATAATTCTGGGATTTAAAAGACATGAGGAGAAAATATCTATCAAGAGAGCAGAGTTGCAGGCTACCGCAAAATTATATTGAGGCCCTGGGAAAAAATGAGAAACTGAGGGAGTTAACAAGTAACTAATGGCTAAATGGGAGAGCCAGAGGACTTCTCTGGTCATTAATAAAAGGGCTGTTATATCCTGTGGTGGAAAAACAGACATGGCTAAGCAGAAAACTGAAGATCTGATGGAGTTATAGGGATTCAGAGATGTTTGAATACTCAATCAATTAAGCTGGTCTGTTATGCTATCAGGGCTATATTGGAAAAACCCAGTACCCTGAAATATGAGATAGGCCCATTTAGATGGATTTCAGCTCCAAATATTGGAGCTGAAGACCTCCCTGAACCCTCAGAGTTTAGTGACCACCCTTCCCTAATAAGAGGTAGCACCTGCCCTGTGTTGGAAAACCTGGCAGAAGCCTATCCCTGCAAGGCAACAGTTGATCCCTTTGGGAGCCACTCCCACCTCCTCTCCTGGATACCAGGCTGATAACTAGAATTAAAGCCCAGGATAGCCCAACTAAGAAAACAAATGAGACTATGTAGCCAGGAGTTATGAAAATTAGCTAAGATGTATCAATAGGAGCCAGAGATATACTCCTAGGATTGGATTTTGAAAGAGCTTGATCAAGGGGGCCAGGATGTACAACTGGATAACCAAGAATTCAGTGACTTCAGGTTACTCTCTTGAGATGTGGGATTTAACACTCTGGCATGGATCCCAGTGGATGGGGCAAACTCCCTGCTAGGGTGACTTTTAGAGGTCTGCAAAAAGTAATAGCCATGTTGAGCAACGTAGAAGTACCTGAGTTGCCCTGGCAGATGGTAAAGACAGGTATGTATAAAAGAGACTGAAGGAAGTGGTTGGAATGGATATATTAATAAGGACAGAAGATTCATCAGAGGATGTTCCAGGGGAGAACCCAAAGGACACCATTTGCTAAGGCCATTAGGAATGTGCTGGTGAGAGGCACACAGCATCACTAAGAAGTTCAGTGATGGCTGTTATCTGCAGGCCAGTTTTGGACTGGGCAATAACCGTAAGGATGGTGGTTGGAGAGGCAAAGCAATAGAGCCTTAGGTGTCGGTGCTTAACTTCCAGAAGCCAAAAAGTTACAATTACTATAATGACTAGCAAGGTCAGAGGGGCAGCCAAGGGTCCTTGACTGGCAGACAGTTACACAAATGGTTAACAGAGCATGACATCCCCAGGGGCAAATATAATAGATGAGCAGACTACATGAGTGTTAGTTAACAACTGTAATCACAAAAAAAAGACAAAAATGGATGACTGGGAAACTGAGGATGGTTGCCCCAATCAAGAGTCCTGATCCTTTGCTAGTTAGTCCCTGGTCCCGAGCCAATTTGCAGATCCAGAACCCTTTGACTGAAGACATGGCCAGGACTTTAGGAGGGGTGCTGTAGCATTATATATTATAATTCTCCTTCCTCAAAGGGACCTATGGTCATTTACTCAGGTGACTGTAAACTAAGGAAAAGGAGAAAACAAATACATTTTGAGGAATATTTAATACAGGCTCTGAGCAGACAGTGACACCTGGAAACCCAAAGTATTATCATGCCCTCCTTATTCCAGAGGAATTTATGGAGGCCAGGCAATAAGTGGAATCCTAGAATTGTGCTTAATGCAAATTAGATGCCTATTACTTATTGACTGATTTGATTCACTACAAGAATGGTTATGAAAAATAAGGAGAAAGATTTTATTCCTTGGACATGACTACAAAAAATAATCTTCCATGTACAAATTCTACAGGCAAAAACATAATTAGCAAAAAATGTTGATATGAGAGTTATTGCTAGGAGGTTGAAATTCTAAGCAAGAATTTATTAGACTGAAGGTTTCTAGGAAAGGCAAGAATTGCAAGGACAGTTCTTCCATTAGGCTGAAATAAGCTCACGAGGTCAACAAAGAATTATGATTGATTAGGAAGGACCTATTTCCTCTTCTTTTGGAGGCCTTTAACTTCTACTTCACTTGCCCTCCATTTAAAAGCTTTCTTCCTATGGTGATCTGTTTCAAGATCCTAGCCAGAGGCATAGGAGCCTCCAACCAGCAGTCAAGGGCATTCTGAGTATCAGAAGTATTTAATTCAGTAGGGACATATGCAAGAATCTATTCCTTTACAGTTTAACTACTTTTGTACACAACATTATATCCTTATATTCTCCTATAATTTTTTAAATGAGACTAGCTCTAGGATCCTGTGGGTTCCTTTCTCTAATTAATACACCATCAATAGAGAATCAAAGGTTCAGTTATCAGATTGTCTTTCTTTCTCTAAGCCAGTCCAGAAGGGTGGATAGGACTTACTATTGCATAGTCTTCAAATATAACTACCCAATTAAACTGGTCTAGATACTTTTAGGATATATAGCAGTGATCTCCCTTATAATTTGTAATTCCCTGCTGTAAACTCCAATCTGCATGTGGAAATTTTAAGTTGGGTCATCCTTATAAGTCTCCAAAAACACTTCTGGAAAGGGACATTTTGGCAATATGTATCAAAAGCTTTAAAAACGTATATATGCTTTGACTAAAAATCTCCACTTCTAAAATTTTTTTCTGAGGAAATAATCAGAATGGGATGCACAAGTGCATAAGAATGTTCATCTCAGCTTTATTTCACGGCAAACAGAGAGGATGACTAAAAAGAAGAGTGAATAAATAAATCTATACGATGAAATTCAATCAATAAAGGTACTATAGAAAAATTTATCTTTTGAGGCCAGGGACAGTGGCTCATGCCTTTGGGAGGCTAAGGTGAAAGGATTGCTTTTGAGCTCAGGAGTTTGAGATCAGCCTGGGCAACATAGTGAGACCTTATCTCTACAAAAAATTTTAAAAATTAGCCAGGCATTGTGGTACATGCCTGTAGTTCCACCTACTGGGGGGCTGAGGTGGGAGGATCACTTGAGCCCAAGGAGGTCAAGGGTGCAGGGTGCAGTGAGCCATGACTGTGTCACTGCACTCCAGTATGGGTGACGGAGTGACATCCTGTAGCAAAAAAAGGATAAAAATCAACATCAGAAAATTTGGATCAACTTTTGGATAAATATATATACTTAAAACATATTTTCATATGTCTGTAAATACATATATACATTCCTATCTATACACACATACACAGTAAAAGCAGAGAGACAGTAAGGACTAGAATAAAAAAGAACAAAATAATTGAGTATTAGTGCTCTGATCATCTTTTACAGTTCTCCTTGGCAAGACTAATATATTCAAGAGAAAAATTCCTATTTGCTCCATATATCAAGCAGAAAACAGAAGCTAGACATCCACAGCTATTAAAACAACAACCACTACCAAAACAAACAACAAAAAAAGTAGTATTCTGTTTAAATGATTGTGTCAGCTCTCTCTTTCTCTCTCTTGCTTCTTGGGACTTGACTGTATTGTTAGTGTTATCCATGTGGGAGAAACCTAAGTCAGCTGCACAATCAGATCAGAAATCTGGTGGAGGCTCTCAAGGGGTTCCTATTCATCCCAACCCCCTTCCCCACTAATTGTATCCTCCATTCCTTCAGTCTTCATGGATCTGGTGGGTGAGGCATGGGGCTGCTCAGGAAAAAGCAGCAGGGCAGATGCTGCAGTTTTAAGTGAAATCAGGTGTTGCTTTCCCTGAAGTAAGATCTGGAAAATGTCAACCTTAAGTAACCGGTACTGGCAGCTGAACACGTAGTCTTCCCCACTGGGCTCAGTGTTTCCTTTCCCTGCAAGAAGTACCTAGGCTTTTCCCTTTCCTCTTGCATTGCCCCATCTCCTTCATCGTGGGACTCTTTAGAGTTCATTGAATAAAAATTTCCATTTTGTAGATATTCATCTGACATGATTCTAAGTATGTTGGAAATGGAAAAGTGGCAATAGAATCCACAAGTGTCAAATAAAACACACTTTAGTGTTGTTGGTGACCTAGGCTTCAACCTGTGGAGGAAATATAAAAGATTTCTTGGAGGAATGGGGAGAAACAACTGAGTCCTGGCTCTTTTCTCCATATGCTGAGAGATACAGGCAGAAACACAGCACACAAATTTGATAAAGCCAAAGTATTAAATGGAGCTGAGAGAACATTCCTTAGATTTCCTTTCTTTTTCTTCTGCTAGGCCAGTCTGGAACTATTTCATTGCAGAATTGCAATCCAGATTGCAGAAACACACATGTGCACATGCACAGCTGATATATGATCATCTTTCTTGTCTCTGGTTGATTTGCATATTGTGCCTCAGCACATTCTGGGATTGAACCAAGTAATGATGGAGGAGGTCTGGAACCCCATCTTAACTAGGGCACATCTCCATTGGGAGAAACCAGTCTCACATACATCGAAGGGTACCAGGATGAAACATAGATCACTATGAGTATGGGGTGAGTGCCAGTTATTCTCTAGTCTAGTTGGGGCAAATGCAATCTGTGATGAAGCCCAACAATTATAAGTTTAGTTGATATCTAAAGAGCAAATCAGTGGGACAACCTTAGAACTTAAAATTCTGAAAAACTGTGCAACAACTATAGGAAAAGAGCACTGTACTAGGAACTACTGCTAAATCTTCACTAAGAATGCTTTATCACCTATCTCTCTTCATCTAATACTCTGTCTAGGCAAACTCATCTATCCCTTATGGCTTTACCCCCTACCTATATACTAATATTGTAGTCCGAAATTTAAATCTCCAGTCCAGGCTTCTTCTGAACTCCAGGCCAGCGATATCAATCATTTCTATCTGAACAACTCACAGGCATTTCAACTGGTGCATGTGAAAAAATAAATTCATCAGCTACCCCAATAAATCTGTTTCTTTTTTTATATTCCCTGAATTGATGAATAACACAGTCATATTTCAGTAACCTGGAAATTGTCCTAGGTTCCTCTCTATTATCTAATCATAACCAAAACAGGTCATCAAGTTCATCTTTTAAACTCTTCCTAGATTTGTCCCTCCTCAGTCCCCACAACCATTACTCTAACTCAGGCCTCTATATCATTCACTCAAATAGTTGCCACAGCCTTCCCATTTAGCACCCTTCAATCCCACAGAATCTGCACATTTCTTCCCGGGGAGCTTTCTAAACAGCATATCTGGCCAGGCACAGTGGCCCACGCCTGTAATCCCAGCACTCTGGGAGGCTGAGGCAGGTGGATCACTTGAGGTCAAGAGTTTGAGACCAGCCTGACCAACATGGTGAAACCCCATCTCTACTAAAAATACAAAAAAAAAAAAAAAAAATTCAGCTGGGTGTGGTGGCGCATGCCTGTAATCCCAGCTACTAGGGAGGCTGAAGCAGGAGAATCACTTGAACCCAGGAGGTAGAGGTTGCAGTAAGCCGAGATCACGCCATTGTACTCCAGGCTAGGCAACAAGAGTGAAACTCTGTCTCAAAAATAATAATAACGATAATAATAATAATAAACAGTATATCTACAGATCACCTATGTAGTATTCTTGCCAAACATATTTAAACAGAATCTAACAATAAGGAAGCAATCAGATAAATCCAGATTTAGGTGCATTTTATAAGAAAACTTGCTTGCACTCTTAAAAAAATGTCAATGTCACACAAGACAAAATATAATTAGGGAAACGAGTCTAGATTTTAAAAGACTAAAGAGACAAGAAAACTAAATGTAAGTGTGATTCTTGCTTGGATCCGAGATTGGTGGGGTAGTGGGTGGGAATAGCCAGCATACACATTATTGAATAATTAGGAAAAATTAGTATACAAACTGTGTATTAGATGATTATTGAATCAATGAATATTGGGTTTCTTAGGTGTAGTAATAGTATTGTGATTATTCAGGAGAATGTTCTTAGTATAGGAGATGCATGCTAAGGGCTAAAATGTCATGATGTTTGCAACTTACTCTCAAACAATTCAGCCAATCTTACATAGGTGATAGAGAGAAAACAAATTTGGTAAAATGTAAACAATTGATTAATTTAGTCTTTCAACTTTCATTTCTGTTTAAAAGTTTTCAAAATAAAAAGTTAAGAAGAAAAAATAAGAAGAAAGAAAAGATCTTTGCCAGTCACCACTGCTAAACTTTTCTTCCAGTAGACAACTTTCATGTTACAAAAACAACTTGAAGTTCCGGGAGATTAAAAAACAAATGGTAGGGAGGTCAGTAAGGTTAAATTACCAAAGCCATTTACTCTCATCCCTATCACCTTGGGCAGGCTTAATTAGAGAGTAAACACAATAACACAATTGACCCAAAACCTAAAAGCTATATATAGAAGTAGATAGGTAGTTCAACAGACAAACTGAATTCAAACCAGTCATTTTGTTTTTTACATACACGAGAATATAAAAACAATTACATGCAAACTCTCATTGAATCTTCATAATAACCAAATGAGATACTTAGCTTCATTTTAGAAATGGGAAAACCAAGGCAAAACCAAATTGAATTCCATACTAGAGTTTTTATAACTGTCAAACCAATAATGTGCATTATTATATAATATTAGAGGTTTTCCAAGAGTAAACACATTACCCTTTTAAAAACAGGATGGTTGAGTCTTGGTTTCTCTTCTATTAGCATTATTAATTTGTTGTTTGTCCTCTATAATTTTCTTTTGCCTTATAACAAAACAATTTTTAAAAACCTCTATGTTAAGCCCTGATAAAAATTCTTATTGCATTTAGACGAGCAACCCAGAGGTTGTTTATGGAGGAGTCCCTGCCTCCTTGTCCTTCTTCTTCCCTTGTCACATCATGCTCTTTTATGCCCTAAGCTACAGCCACATTTAACTACTTGTACTTACTTGAAAGCACAGGTTCTGTCAGGCCACCAGGATTTCTTGATGGTAGTTTAAATTAAGGGAAACATGATGTGGTCCTTCATGGCACAGGTATGCCTAACGCAAACATACTAGACACAGCAACACGCAAGACCAACTCTATACATACAGGGAGTCAGGACACCATGATTCTGCTTGCTATGATTTCTTCTGGTTTGGCCTTGAGGTTTCTCTCCATAGAGGCCATAATCCAGGACACCCACTTTCAGGGAGAGCCCCAAATGGGAGGAAAGTTAGGGTCAGGTGTGTCAGTTAGGTGGGACACAGAGGTGGGTGCATAACAAAACACATGAAATAACAGAATAATTTTATTAAAGATCCATGGGAGAAGCACATGCCCATGAGGACCAACAAGAAATCTGGAGACTGCAGGATGCTCAGTGAGAGAGAGACAGAGAGAGAGAGAGAGAGAGAGAGAGAGAGAGAAAGCAAGAAAGACCTGTTAGCCAAAGCCTTTATTGGGATCTAGGGTATTACCCAACTAGGTTTCTCTTACGAAGCTCTAACTGGTGGGTTTAGAGCAAGAAGGCATGAGTTCTGGGGGGTCACACTGTGACTGAGATGTGGTCTCTGTGGCATATCTACACAGTTAGTGCGGGATGTGAGGGTCAGTGGGGCAAGTCAAGTAAGTTTTATCTAGCTGTCCCACAGGGAAGTGGTCAGGAGGCAGTTATATCTGGATCAACCACACTGAGAAACTGGGAGGAGGTGTAAATGGAAACTGTCAAGGGTGACTGAGCCCTGCTTCTGGTATAAGGAAGTAAAATTTATATTCAAAATGGATGCCGAGGCAATGCACACTTACAAGAATTCACTACATTGCTTCCATATTGGCTACTTAGGCAAATCCCTTATCCTCAATGAGCCTCAGTTTGTTCATCTATAAAGTAGATGATTAAATCAGATGATCTCCAATGTTCATTTGCTCTGTGCTCTCAATGTCCATGAATCTATGAACTTGCTATGAATAAATTACAAAGGAGATTAAATTTTAGCAAAGAAGAGATTTTCTTAGGAGAAATTATCTTAAAGAAGTTGTGAAAGTCAAATAAAGGATAAAGTTCCAAATCACAGTCAGGTTTAATGGACTTCACTGATGATATAAAAGAAATCCAAAACATGCCATCTTTAAGATTTATATCAAATTGCAAATGAATATCTAAATAACATGTTGAAAAAGACATTAAGAGACAGATTAATTTTAAACTGCAGTATGAAATTCAGCTCCTCTTTCGGTTACTAGGCAGAAGACAGGCTCAGAGTCTGTGAATCTATGTAAATGTAGCCCATGAAGGAGAAAAATTAGTTTCTTAGTGTCTCATTTTCCATCACCTGTTAGATTCAGAGATAAATTATTTAAAGCTCTGGGGAAGACTAGTACCCAATATAACTAATAAAATAATACTTTTAAATCACTCAATCTCTCAACTCTCTTTTCTTTCAAAAGACTCAAAGCTCTTTCCACACACTGAAATGGACACTTGGGTGGGGTGGAATCAAGTGTCTTAAAGCTAGAGAAAGGACCCCTCCCACATTATTCAACTCACTCAATGTGAGCAGTGGAAGAACAAATGAGGAGAGGTACCA